>NC_000005.10:98291625-98594655 GCF_000001405.40 Homo sapiens
AAGCTTAATTTGGAGGATCAAGACCCAGGACAACTTTGGGCCTTGGTGCTAGATATGGAGTTTTCTATTTGGTCGAAGAAGAAGATGCAAGACCTTTCAGGCCATACTGCTTCTCTTCTCTCGGAATCCAACCTCCTTGCCTCATCTCCCTTTCTTGACCAGCATAACTTATATAGTAAGAGAGGCCTAGAACCATTTCGCAGATGGGGAAAGATCTGTCTTGCTTTCTTCTCTTAGAAAATTTAATGAAAAACTTCTAGGATATGGTGAGCTGGAAGAAGTGTTTCTCTCATCCTTATAATGAAAAAGAGCCAGATTAACTTAACAGTTATGATTTTTTTCCCCATTAGAGAGCTGAGTTCACAGAGCAAACAATGGCCCAAAATCTGAGAAAAGATTGGTCCCTGCAAAGATAAGGGAAACACAAGCACATGCTTTCATGGATAGACACGACCCAGAAGCAGACCCCCATGAGATGAATGATGAATTCTAAGTGTGGGCTGGTGGGATAGTGTGAAGTCCAGCAAAGAGACCTTGAGGGACATGACATGCTCTTATAGTCTCTCTTCCAGGAACTCAAAACAGATACTCACAGAAAGTTCTGTAAGAGCATTAAGAATATGCCTATTTTGCTGAGAAAGAACAGTCATGAATGAGGAGAAACTTTGGTCCTTAGGGCACTGGAGAAAATGCAGGTCAGCTTGAAGAAGGGAATAGAGGGGAAAAAATACCTTCTCCTGGGCAAAGAGCAGGACTATGCTCACAATTGTGAGATGGGAGGAGAAGAGAACTGAGAGGACCACACCTCTGAAATCCACGATTTGATGCCAGTTTAAGACAGAAGTTTAATTAGAACAGCAGAGAATACTCTGCCATGATGCCTTCTACTAGCAAACGAACACACTTCGAATTACAGCTAAGAGCAGAATTTGCAGGAAGAGAACAGAAATGGAATATAAGCAGGCAAAAAGATCTTCTAGGAGGAAAAGCTTCAAGAGGCAACCTAAAGTACAGCACACAGATGAGACATTACTCTGGCATACAAATTCTCACGCCAAACACAAGGTATGACTGCAGGAATTTGAAACCTAGGGCACACTTAGTGTAACCACAGCAGCAACATATCTCAAACACAGCCCAGTGGCTAACCAGATTAACTCAAATAGAAACCATACAAAACATGTTTTCAGATTATAATGAAATTCATATAGAAATCAATAACACTAAGGTTTTGGAAAAATCTCCAAATATTTGAAAATTGAGCAACATAATTCTAAATAATCCACAGGTTAAAGAGGAAATCTCAAGAGAAATTTAAAAATAATTTGAAGTGAATGAATATGGAAATTCAATACATCAAAATTTGTGGTTTGCAGCAGAAATAGTGCTTAGAGGGAAATTTATAGCCTTAAATGTTTATATTGGAAAAGCAGAGAGGTCCCAAAGCAGTAATTTAATAGTTTCTACCTTAAAAAAAAAAGAAGAGCAAATTAAACCTAAGGCAAGCAGAAAAAAGGAAATAAAGATAAGATCAGAAGTCAATGAATTTGAAAACAGAAAAATGATAAATAAAAATTAGCAAAACTAAAAATTTATTTTTTGTGGCCGGGGTGGTGGCTCATGCTTATAATCCCAGCACTTTGGGAGGCCAAGGTAGGTGGATAACTTGAAGTCAGGAGTTCGAGACCACCCTGACCAATATGGTGAAACTCCTTCACTACTAAAACTGCAAAAATTAGCTGGATGTGGCGGTTTCTGCCTGTAGTCCCAGCTACTTGGGAGGCTGAGGCAGGAGAATTGTTCGAACCTGGGAGACAGAGGTTGCAGTGAGCCGAGAACAGGCCACTACACTCCAGCTTGGGCAACAGAGGGAAACTAAATCTCAAAAAAATAAAATAAAATAAATAAAAATAAAAGTTTATTTTTTGGAAAGCTAAATAAAATTGATAAACCTCTGGCTAGATTAACCAAAATGGAGGAGGGAGAAACAAATAAAATGAAACCTACCAGTTTCAGGAATGGTAAGAGAAGGTTACCACCGACACCACAGACATTATCAGGATATTATAGAAATACTATCCACAATTCTAAAACTTAAATAAAATTGACCAATCCCTCAAAAGACAGAGACTGTAAAAAAATTAAGAAGAAACAGGTAGATGCAATAATCCTATAACTATTAAATAAATTGAATTTGTAGTTAAAATTCTCTCCAAAAGAACCCTCCAGGCCCAAGTGATTTTGTTAGTGAATTTTATCAAATATATAAGGAAGAAATACTACCCTGTTCACAAAATCCTCTACAGAAAATAGAAGAATTCCTTGCCCCTCTTTTTTTTGTGGTCAATATTATTCTAATGTCAAAACTAGACAAAGATTTTATAAGAAAAGTACTAAAAAGTATCTCTCATCAACACGAACACAAAAATCCTCAAAAAACGTGTAACTAATTGAATATAGCAATGTGAAAGAATAATCTATCTTAATCAAGTGGAGTTTATCCCAAGAATGCAAACTGATTTAACATTTAAAAATTAATCAATGTAATTCACTCGATAAACAACAAAAAAAGATCATTTTAATAGATGAGAAAAAGGCATTTGTCAAAATTCAACATCAATTCATGATTTAAAAAACTCTCAGCAAACTTGGAATAGGAAAGAATATCTACAAATAGATAAAAGCCTTCAAAAAATTAAAACTATGCAACTGACCTAATAATGAGGGAAGATTGAAACCTTTCCTTTTATAATCAAGAGCAATGTAAAAATTTCCTTTCTCACCACTTTCATACAAATCATGCTAGCGGCCTTAGTGCAATAAGATAAGAGAAAGGAAGGGGAAAAAAAGTATCTATTCACAGATGGTATGATTTTCTATGAAGAAAATTTCAAAGAATATACAAAAAAAAATCTTCCAAGAACTAATACGTAAATGCATCAAAATTACAGAATGTAATGACAATGTATAATAGTCAATCATATTTCTATACACTAGCAATAAACAATTAGAATTTGGAATTTAAAAAATTATAATAGCACAAAAATAATAAAACCTGTGTGTTTATGTCTGTGTGTAAACAAAATATAAGAAGGATCTATATGCTTACAACTACAAAACCCTGATGAAGGAAGTAAAAAAACATAAATAACTGGAAAAATGTACTGTGCTCATGGATTAAGAGACTCAATATTATTAAGATTTCAGTCTTTTTCCAATTTGATCTATAGAGTTAATGCAATCCCAATTAAAATCCCAGCAATGATTTCTGTTGATATTCACAGGTTTATCCTAAAATGTATATGGGAAGATAAAGAAAATAAAATAACTTCTTATATGATTTTGAAACAAAAGAACAAAGTTAGAACACTCCCAATATCTGTTTTCAAGACTTACTGTTATGCTACAGTATTCAGGATTATGTAGTATCAGTAATAGGACAGGCACATAGATGAAAGGAACAAAATATGAAGCCAAGAAATAAATCCATTCTAACGTAGTCAAATGATTTTGACAAAGGTACAAAGGCAAACTGAAAGAAAGGATAGTGTTTTCAACAAATTGTGCTGAAACAATTCAATCTCCATATGCAAAAAAATTGAACCTTGGCAAAAAAAACTCACGCCTTATACAAAATTTAATTCAAAATGGACCATATACATTCATGTAAATCCTAAAACTATAAAATGTCTAGAAATAAATAGGAAAAAATCTGTGTGAATTTAGATTTTTCAAGTAGTTTTTAGACATGACTCCAAAAGCAAGACTCATAAAAGAAAAAAATTTACAACTTGGATAAATTATCAAAATTAAAATATTTTGCTTTGTAAAAGATACTGTTGACATATTTCAAAAGACAGGTCATATCCTGGAAGAAAATAGATGCAACTCACATATCTGATCATGTACTTTTATGCAAATGTATAAAGAACCCTGAAAAATCTACAAAAATCAGCAATCAAAAATGTTCATTTTAAAAAGTGGGAATGGGATAAAGCTTTAAACAGATAATTTACCAAAGAAGATATGCAAACGAAAAATAAGCACATGAAAAGATACACAGCAACATTAGTCATTAAGGAAATGCAAATTAATCTCAAGGAGATACAACTATTACAAGTACTAGAATGGTTAAAATGAAAAAAATAAGTGACAACACCAAGTGTGACAAAGATGAAGAGCAACTTGGTAGGAGGCAGTTATGTATAAATGTGTAAATGCACATTTAACACATAACTCAGCAGTCCCACACTTAGACATTTACCCTAGAAAATTGTAAGAATACACCTAGAAACACTTGTACATGCCTATTCATAGGAGCCTTGTTTATCAGGTCCAAAAATTGGAAACAATGAAAATGTCCTTCAACATATAATTGTAAAAAGAAACAGTGGTACATTTCTACAATAGAACTCTACTCAGCAAAAAGAAGGAAAAGAGTATGAGTTCACCCAGCAATACAAAAGAATCTTAAATGTGTTTTTCTAAGTGAAAGAAGCTAAACTAAAAAGAGCTTTATATTGAATAATTTCAGTTATATAGCAGTCTGAGAACAATGCAAAACAATAAAGTCAGAAAGGTGCCAGGGTTGGATCTGAGGGGAGGAGTTGGCCACAAAAGGGTAGCATTAGGGAATCTAGGGGGTGTTGGAACTTTTGCAAGTAAATACATGACTATGCTTTTGTCAACACTCACAGAATTATGTACTGCAAAGAAAGAATTTTACTATATGGAAACTTTAAAAAAAAATAACTGGAATGTCAAGAGAACCCAAGATGAAATGTAGACTCTGGCAATTGAATCTAACTATTATAAATGAGTAACATCCACACGAACAGAGGTGGAAAAGAAAGGAGTTAATCTGAATAACCTTAAAAATCCTTATGTTGACTGGATGATGAAAATAGCTGAATAGAAACTATAAAAAGAAGAATAAAAATAAAAATAAATGGAGTCCAAAGAAAAGCTGGTAAGAGTCGATGACTCATTCCTTATGATCTCTAAGCGTGGGGAGAGCTTCTCTTTCACTTACTTGACAAGTTCTTCCTGGAATTAGCCTTGCCTGCCTCTTCTCATCACTGGAATGGTAGGGTCAGAAAAGTATAAACCCACATGAAGAGTAAAGGGTTCAACATGCCACATGGAATACTGACATCCAAGTATAGGCTGGCCTCTGGCATTGCCCAAAGGATTCCCTGTAGCTTCACTGCCACTTCACAGGTCACCCAAAGCCCCACTTAATTTAGTTTATTGACTGACTTTGTCTCTATATCTAGATCCCTTTCTGGGGGACACAGTGATGGCTGGTTAAGGAAACTCAAAGTTTATAATTCTAGGATTTCAGAAATTAGTTTTCTTTCTCTACCCCACCTGCCTGCATTTAAGACACAATAGACATTTCACACATATAACAAAATTACCTAAAAGAAGGAAAATTGAACAGATATGTCTTTCTACTTAAGCTGGGCTGTGGTCAGTATGAAAATTTAGAGTTAGAAAATGCTACACCTGATCTATGTTGCTTCGATATTGCCTTTTTATAAATCAATTCTATTTAAGCCATATGCAAAATTCAACAGTATCCTTGCAGTCCTTTTCCTCTAGGTGAAATTTATACAAATTTGCAAGTGTTTCTAGGGAAATCGTATAGTATAAAAAAGATGATATGTGGTATGCTTGGCATTTTGTACGTATAAGAAATTTGAAAAGAAGTTACTTTTCCAGCAATATGACCAAAAGGTTTCATGTGCAATTTTTAAAATCATAATATTTATACTCTCTTTTTCATGGATATGTCAGAACACTTCAGCAAAGTAATTTAGTAATTATCTTTACATCCCTCTGTAAACTCTCAATTCAGGAGCTTAAAAAATGTTCAAAAATTAACACATGCAATTGATTAATTCAGACAAAAAATAAATGACTAGAGAAAAAAGATTGTAGCAATTTCTAAGATAATTTCTACTACAGCAGTAAGTATTTACTATAGCAATAGTACTTACTACAGCAATTGTTTCTTATGGCAATAAGTACTTCAAAATCATGTCTGCGTATATGTGTGTGTGAGACAGAAACCGTTTACTGACACTGAGAAAGAACACAGATATACTATATATTTTAATAAGAAGAGCACACTTGAGTAACCAAATCTTGTGTTCTCTGTAATATTATTTCCAAGCACTTACCTAATTTTCTGCATTGTAATTTGTCTAGAAATGTAATTTCTCTAGGAAGATTGAAATAATTTTCATTTTAAGGACTATATATGCAGTTTGTTTTGATCGAGGCACAGAAACTTGTGAAGTTTTCAGCGCACAATGGCACAATGGTCTTTCAATATATATCTTTTGACTGAATTAGAGAAGCAATTGAGTAGAGCTTATCTTATGGGGAGAGGAAAGGAGGCCATGTTAGGGCAAGAAACTACTATCCAATGATGAGAGATGGCAAAGAGACACTGAAATCTTAGCATAAACATCACAAAAACTTGCTTAGTGGGGAGAAGAAGGGAAATTTTTTCCATTGAATGGTGATATAGTTTGGATATGTGTCCCTGCCCAAATCTCATGTTGAATTGCAATCCCCAGTATTGGATGTGGGGCCTGGTGGGAGGTGATTGGATCATGGGGTGGATTTCTCCTGAATGGTTTAACACCATCCCCTTAGTGATAAGTGAGCTCTTGTTCTGAGTTCACATGAGATCTGGTCATTTAAAAGTGTGTGACACCTCCCTCCACCCCAGTCTCTCTTTCTCTCTCCTGCTTTCACCATGTGACTTGCCTGTTCCCCCTTCAACTTCCACTATGATGGAAAATTCCCCAAGGCTTCACTAGAAACCAAGAAGATACCAGCTCCATGCTTCCTGTAAAGACTGCTGAACCATGAGCAAATTAAACCTCTTTTCTTCACAAACCACCCAGTGTAAGGTACTTCTTTATGGCAATGCAGTAACAGCCTAATACAAGTGGTATGTACAGACTCTGAGCTATGACTTAATTGCTTTCTGATTTTAAGCTCCATCTTCCAAAAATTTTAGTAGCTCCTTTCTATCTCTGTATATTTATGCCCGTCTGTTTCACTGAACATCAGTTCTCTTAATCGGTAATGCATCTTATTCACCCTGGTTCCACTATAGCCTGAGCCCAGTGACTTGCAAACAACAGACATGTAGTAAGTAATTATCATTTGGGTTTGATTAAATTTTACTAATGGTTCATATCTTCCTTGCCTGTCTGGTCTCTTTTCTACTAAGAAAATCCCTGAACATTTAGTTTTCTTCTCTTCTTTTGCTTCTCTATTTTTGCTAAACATTCTGATATTTTGGTGACAATTTCAGATTGACTAATTTGGGACATGGGAGGTGCAAAATCCTGCCAAGGGAAGGTCTGATGGATGAAACAATACTTTGGTACAGAACAAATCAGAAATTTAATTTCATTTTGAGCTGGTGGAAGCTTCAGTTTATAGCCTCTGGCTCCTCTCCTCAGCGTTCTGTAGAGAATGCCTCTCCCTGTCTTTCATCTCTTCTGAAGAGGTCTTTTTCTTTGGCTACAGGTGGGATCTTTTTGGACAAATAAGATATTTTTGTACTTGTTTCTGTCTGCTGTCTACTGTGAACTTCTAGTAGGAAGCCTTAGCAAACTCTATCCTCTTCAGAAGACTCACCATGGGGTGCTTCTTTTGATTTGAATAATTTATTGGTCTATCTCTCTTTTTCTTATCCTCTTGTGAGGGACTTGGATGAGCAGATCTCAGTTCTATAGCTAAACCAGCTGCCATTCAGGCAGACCTTCAAGAGATACACAGCAGAATTCCAGCAGGTTCAAGGCTGTGGAGACTCAGAGGTTCCAGTTAACTAAACACCTGAGGGTATCGGAGAGAGACCCTCAAAGGTAGCAGCAGTCTCTGAGCAAATGAGTATTTTAGTATGTCTGTCTGTTTATATCTTACAGAGTTGACTCCTGTAGTTCTCCTTTTCAGCTAAGTTTAGTCATTGACATTGAAGAGCTAAGAGGATGAATCAGAAAGAAAGAAATAAAAGAGACTAAATATGAGGAGATAAA
The DNA here is from genome assembly GCF_000001405.40 of Homo sapiens. Lineage (NCBI taxonomy): Eukaryota > Metazoa > Chordata > Mammalia > Primates > Hominidae > Homo > Homo sapiens. The sequence goes on from NC_000005.10 coordinate 98,299,689, forward strand.
GATTAGGTGTAGTGCTAGCAAATTTCCCAACATGAATCACGTATTTCTTTAAATCCATTTTTGGTTGAAGCTGAATAGTGTAGACTAAATAAAGGTCTAAGAATGATCTTAATGAAAATAAAAATTTTTGTCCCAGAGGTTACCACCATCCCGAGGTCATGTTTTACTGTGGCTATGAACAAATGGAGAACCCTTACCCAGGGAAAGCAAAATAAAAGTAGACAGGACTTAATCTTGTGTAATTCTATGGATTCTTAGTTTACTCTTCCATCTCAGCATAAGGCAAAACAATACTTTCTTAAAGAGCTCTTTTTATTTACTCCCTTCAGCTACAGCTGTGTGTACCAGAATATGGGCAGTCCCTCTCAGGATAAATGCCTCTATTTTACAGATTCGCAAATAATCTACAACTAAACCCAACACGTTATTAGTTTTTCTAAGAAGCGAAGAGCATGAAGCTTTACAAAACAGAAATGCAGAAAGGACCCTATGGGAGGCTTGGTGTGCTCACTCTAGAAGATTCAAGTTGATTGCTTAACAGTAGAAGGCCACAGAGGAACTGCTGGAAATAGGTTTCTGCCTTATCTATGTAGTTTAATTGACACCACATATGAACACATCCCAGGAAGGCCACTTTTGATCATGAAAATATTCTACGGATAAGTCATCTTTGTTTTCATGTCACTGAGTCTTACCAACTTAGCAAATAAGCATAGAAAATTTCCAGAGATTAAAAGGCAGGTTTATTGTCTATAGTGATAGGACAGGGCACTGTTTAACTAAAGAAAAAAAATCCCAATCTCCTGAGCCATCCATCTGTAACAATATTTTGGAACTGTGATACTTCTTATTTTACCACATTCCATATACGAATGATGGAAAGAAAAGCTACTTGGTTGAAAAATAATTTATATGAAAAGCGCAGAAGAAACCCAAAAAGGAAATTAATCAGATTACTTTCTCACCTTCAGGTGATTGTTACAGATGTTTCACAAGTCTCAGGACATCTGCTGTTCATCAATTCTAACAAATACATGGTGTCACTATAAAGCCAAAGCATTAGTCTCATATTTACAATCCAGAGGTTTTCTACTTCTTTTTTTCCTGCTTTGCTCCTGCAAGTTAGAATTCACAAAGAATTAAACATCCTAGGCAGCTTTTATTCTACACTGGTAGAGGTAGATCCTTTAATTCAAGGCATAAAAAATGGAGAAATCCATGATCTATAATCAGCAAAAGAAACAGCAGAGGATAATATATTTTTGTTAATCATCTACTTTTTTTTTAACCTGGTATTTATTTTCCTAAGACAAATTAAGCCCATGTCAATTAACTTTCACTCCATAACCATTCATTACAGAAAGCAATTTAAGGGATGAAGAATTATTTGTTAAATCAATCCCCAATTTATTAGCTGTCTTGACTTTTAGCAAGTTTAAGATTACTTTTTATAATAATTCCATCTTTGGATTGCTTAGTGCTCAGATATAAACAAATCTTTTGAATAGAAGATATTTTAGTTAATAACACTTAAATTCATAGATCCTGAAAAATTATATATGTAGATTTTCATAGTCAGTTTGTACCTAACTCCAGAAACTTAAAATATTATATAGGGACATTTAAAAAATCTGAGTCCAAGAAACAAAAGTTATTGACACAAGGGATATAACTATAAAAACAGACATTTTTACCTTTTCATTTCATGAATTAAGTAAAGTAAGAAGAAGAAGGAAAGAAATAACTCTATGTGTTGATATGTAAATAAAAATGCAAACGTGTTTTGCCGTTGTTCAAATCACCCATTATGAATAAGTGCTTTTGTTTTCCATGTTCCTGTGGGATATATCAGGTCAAATGTCAGTTCTATCCTCAAAATGGCCTCTTAAAATCCTGTCTCTCCTTCCTCCAAGAGCAGGTGTATGAAATAAACCAGCAGGCAGTCAAAGTTGAAATTACATTTGTGCGTCCTAAATCATGACATTCAGTCTTGAAGAGAAAGAAGAAAGCACAGATGTCTTTTCACCAAAGGACCTATCTCTGTGGAGAAGAAAGTGGGGGGGTGGGGGACAGGAAACTGCAGAGACACAACACATTCCTGTTTGCTCCAACTGAGCACTTCCACAGACCTTCTTTGTATTAGACAGAATGGAGATCAGACTCTCACACGTGTCCAGGCCAAGATCAGTGCTGCAGATTCTCAGCAGTTCTCTGTGTTCAGTCTGCTCTCCTGAATTAACATCATTTTATATTTGATCATTATGAATCTCAGTTCTTGCATAAGCAGGGAAAAAATTTAGGTTATTGAGAGAGGGAGAGGAAAACCCTGCTGAGACGTGCATGTGGGCTACTTTTGGACCATCCGTTTGAATACGGTGTCCAATGCCATGGTCCTTCCATACATATGATTTTCTACTCTCAAATAAGCTCAGCAACTTTCCTAGAATAAACATTTGAACAACTTTTAAAAGAAGCTAGTTAGGGATTTAGAAATGTAATTTGAACATTAACATTAAACCGTGCACCTGCATTTTCTTTAATCTTCAAATGTAAAAATCCAGGATATTTCCCAAATTATGCTGCTAATGTGTGTTTTGTTTTAATTTTTTTAATGTTTCAAACATATTTCTAGCCTTTTGAAAAATAAAATTCAAAAAAAACAGAAAAATAAAATAAAAATTAAGTTGACATATAACCTATCTTCTTTTTAAAAAATACTATCAAGAAGGGAACATCCTACTCCAGTCCCATTGCCCAAATTTAAGATTTGATTCTTAGCTTTCCAGGCTTTTTATTTCTTGATATATAAGAGTATGTGTTTCTGTATATGTATGTATGTATATACACATATTAATAAATATTTATGCTCATATATGCTTTACACAATTTGATCCTATTTTATCTAGAATTTGTGTTTTAAATTATTTAACAAAATATCCTAAAAAATATTTTCATAGTCCTAGCTCCTACAGTGGGCACTAAGTTTTAGGCTAATTTTTTTAACAACTAGGTATAAATTTGAATTCCTAATTACTTAGTAGAGTGCTTTAGACATTTAGCTTTCTATTTCTAGTATTTGAAAGAGTGACAAAAATATTTTATTACAGAAAATACACACAGCATTAGAGAAGCAAGCAAAACCAGACTATGCCTTAAAGGCCAATGGGTTTGCTGACTGACAGTACCTTCTGAATTCCTAGAAAAACCTCTGTTCATATAACTGATTTCTATACAAAGCAGACTTCACTATTCTGTGTGAATTCCATGAAAGTTTTCACAAAGGAATAAGTTCAAATAACATCCTAAGGAAGATGCACTTTAAATGATCTAGCATCTTCTCCACTAAATCTTGTTAGGCAGACACTTAGAGGTCACCATATCGAATTGTTTCATTCAATGACATTTCATTACTTTTTTTTGAAACCATCAAAAAAAATCAACCATTTGTTTAAAAATATATTATATTTGTTTCCCTTAATTTAAAAAATCCGATAAACAAATTCTGGTACCTTACCTCATGCAATGTATTTATTCAGTGATAAAAAGAAATTAGCTGTCAAGGCATGAAAATGCATATTGCTAAGTGGAAGATGCCAGTCTGAAAAGTTACATACTATATGAGTACAACTACATGGCATTCTGGAAAAGACAAAACTATAGAGACAGTAAAAACATTAGTGGATGCAGCCTGGAGCGGTGGCTCACGCCTGTAATCCCAGCACTTTGGGAGGCTGAGGCCGGCGGATCAGGAGGTCAGGAGATCGAGACCATGGTGAAACCCCGTCTCTACTAAAAATACAAAAAATTAGCCGGGAACGGTGGCGGTTGCCTGTAGTCCCAGCTACTCGAGAGCCTGAGGCAGGAGAATGGTGTGAACCCGGGAGGTGGAGCTTGCAGTGAGCTGAGATCGCACCACTGCACTCCAACCTGGGTGACAGAGTGAGACTCCGTCTCAAAAAAAAAAAAAAAAAAAAATTGTGGATGCTGGAGTTCAGAAGGGGTATAAGAGAATATAAAGTAAAAAACATGGGATTTTTAGGACTGTGAAATTATTCCATATGATACTATGATGGTGGATACAGGACATTATGTATTTATCAAAACCCACTGAATATACAAGACAGAGTAAACCCCTGGGTCAACTATGAACTAGAGTTAATAATCTATCAGTACTGGCTCTTCAGTTGTAAAAATGTACCACACTAATGCAAGATGTTGATAAGAGAAAGAGGGTGGGGAGTGTAGGGGGTGTGTAATATGGGAAATTGTGCTTTTTGCCTATGTTTTCTGAAACCTAAAACTGCTCTGAAAAATAAAGTCTATTAATTGAAGAAATGAAAGGGAAATAAAGAAGACAGCTTGAGGGTGAAGTGCTGCACCCCCCAACCTTATTGTTCACTAGGATTTGTGATAAATTCATGCCTATGTTTCGAATTCTCCAATGGAATGTACTGATGATCTGTTTCTTATTACGTTTTCTACAATAATTTATTAAATAATTTCCTTTTGGATTACTTTTAGGGGAAAAAAAGGAAAAGCAGGAGAAAAATATGTCTGAACCAATTTCCAAATTTGGCTAAAGTTTGGGAAGACATAAAGCGAAAGGGACAAGTATTAATTGTGCCTGAGATGAAATGCCTTGGGTTAAGGTTTGTTCTTATTTCAGGGTCTTCTGGCTTGTTGGCATCAGCTTTGTCCCATTTATATGTAGACATTAAACAAGATTGTCCAGTTTAAAGTCTGCTGGTTGCAGCCAAAACACTTCAGGCAGACGACATATAGGTAATCTCTTTGCCTCTCAAGTATTAGTGCTGAAATCTGGATTGTAATGATTGGCTCAAGCATGTTTGAACTGGTGTCAGGAAAATGGATCCGGATTTCTACATGCAACTTTATATAAATAAACATCACAGTAGATGTGATCCAGGGGTAAGATATTGGGAGATGAAGTGCAGCACACGTTGCATTTCAATTTAAGAGAGCAGTCAGCTGGGGATTGAGCCTATGCAGCCCTGGGACATATGTTCAGGAAAATGTCCCTTGCTATAAACCACGTAAAAATAATGAGAAGAATCTTCCCATAGATATCTGCAAGTGGCAGAGCTCAAAAAGAAACAGTTTCTTTAAAATATATATTTTTCCATTCACACAGCTTCCATATAAAAATATGCTATATCCCAGAGGTTTTTATCTTCATAAAATCACCCTGTATGCAATTCCTAGCACAGTGAACAAATACAGCAAAATATTTTTAACAAGCAAATAAAACCTTGCAATTTAATTTTGTTGAAAATCAAATTTTAATTTAACTAGTATAGTATTTTGCTGTCTTGTCTAAGTTTATTTTAAATTATGAAGTGCCAAGATATGGAAACATACTAAATGCCAATCATCAATGGATGAACAGATAAAGAAAGTATAGTATATCAAGGGAAAATAAGTCATTATATAAAATAGATACCTGCACACATTATATTTATCACAGAGCAATTCACAATTGCAAAGATATGGAGTCAACCTAAGTGCTCATCAACTGATGAGTGGATAAAGAAAATGTGGCATGCATATATATAAACATACACACACACGCGCGTGCACACACACACACACACCATGAAATAATATTCAGCCTCAAAAAAAAAACAGAATAATGTATTAATGTATTTTGCAATAACTTGGATGGAACTATAAGCCATTATCCTAAGTGAAGTAACTCCGGAATGAAAAGCAAAAAATCGTGTGTTCTCACTTATAACGGGGAGCTAAGCTATGGATTGTGTAAAGGCATGGAGAGTAGTACAGTGGACATTGAAGACTCAGAAGTGGGAAGGGTGGGAGGGAAGTGAGGAATGACAAATTACCTGTCAAGTACAATGTATACTACTCAAGTGATGAGTACATTAAAAGCCCAGGCTTCACCAGTATACAATTCATCCATGTAATCAAAAACCACTTGTACCCCTAAAACTATTGAAACATTTTTTTAAATCAGTAAAACACCTGAATAGACATCTGTCAGAAAAGACCTACAATGGCCAATAGGTATATGACCAAATTCTCAACATCAGTAATCACCAGGGAAATGCAAATCAAAACCACAATAAGATATCACCTCATTTAAATTAGAATGGCTATTACCAAAAACACAAAACATAACAGGTGTTGGTGAGGACTTGGAGAAAAGGGAACCCTTATACACTGTCAGTTGGAATGTATATTACTACAGCCATTATGGAAAATGGTATGGAGGTTCCTCATAAAATTAAAAATAGAACTATGATATGATACAGCAATCCCACTACTGGGTATATATCAAAAGGACATGAAATTTGTATATTAAAGTGATAGCTGAACTCCCAAGTTGCAGCAGTATTCATAATAGCCAAATATAGAATCAATCTAAATGGCCATCAATGGATGAATAGACAAAGAAAATGTGGTGTATATATATACAATGGAATACTATTCAACCATAAAAAGAAAATTCTGTCATTTGTAGTAACATGGATAACCTGGGGGACATCAGATTATGTAAAATAAGCCCTGCACATCTCACTTATATTTGGAATCTTAAAAAGTCAATCTCATAGATGTAGACAGTAAAATGATGGTTACCAGAATCTAGGATGGTTATGCAACAGGGGGATGGAAGGGGTGTTGGTCAAAAGATTTGTAATTATAGTTAGAAGAAATAAACTCAAGAGACCCATTATAGAGCAAGGTGACTATAGGTGATAACAATATATTGTCTTTTTGAAAAATACAAAGAGAATGGTAGTTAAGTGGTCTTAACACAAAAATGATACCTATATAAGGTAGTGAATTTGTTACTTCAGTATATTTAACCACTCCATAATGTATATACACTTCCAAACATCACGTTGTACACAGTAAATACATACAGTATTATCTGTCAATTTAAAAAAAATTAAGTTAAAATCATTTAAAAATCTAAAAAAAGAAAGTGTGGTATGTATACCACATTTGTGGGTGCATGTGTGCGTGTGTGCATGTGTGCGTGTGTGCATGTGTGTGTAGAATCAATCTAAGTAGTCATCAATGGATGAATAGACAAAGAAAATGCGGTATATATACACAATGGATAATGGACATACACACACAAAATGGACTATCATTTAGCCTTTAAAAAGAAGGTAATTCCTTAATATATGACAAAATGAGTGACCCTTGGGGATATTGTACTAAGTGAAATAAACCAGTTACAGATGGACGAATACTGCATTATTCCATTTACTTTAGGTACATAGATAGAATAGTCAAATACATAGAAGCAGAGAGTAGAACAGTGGTTACCAGGGGTTGAAAAAAATGGGAAATAGGGAGTTGTTCGATGGGTATAATGTTTCAGTTATGTAAGATGAATTAGTTCTAGAGATCTGCTGCACATCATAGTGCCTATAGTCAACAATACAAAATGCTGTACACTTAAAAAATTTCTTACGAGACTAGGTCTCATGTTAAGTGTTCTTACCATGATAAAGTATTTTTAAATATAAATATGAAATGTCTTTGCAAATATTAGAATTGTGCTGTCTTAGCACTTGGTACATGTGCCTGTGGGGGATGAAAATAGTGATGCTGTCCACACTTCTAACATCATTATGCCTAGATATTATACTAATTACAGTAGCAATGGCAACTAAGTTTCTGTCCCCTGACTTGGGGAACTCCCACTAGATTGTAATTTTAGGATAGCTATTTTTTCCGAAATATTCCAGAATCAGTGCAGAAATGGTGATATCATTTGAATGTATCCCCTAGAATTCATGTGTTGAAAGCTTAATCCCCAGTGCATCAGTGTTGGGAGCTGGGGCCTCATGGGTGGTGTTTAGGTCATGGGGGCAGAGGTCTCATGTATAGATTAATGCCATAATAAAAATGACTCTTGGGAATGGGTTTGTTCTCTTTCTCTCTTTGCCCTTCCAACTTTTGCTCTGTGAAGACACAGCAAGAATGCCCCTACAAAATGCCAGCACCTTGATCTTTGAATTTCCAGCCTCCAGAATTGTAAGCCAATAAATTTCTGTTTACTATAAGTTATTCAGCCTCAGGTATTCTGTTATAGCAGCTCAAGACAGACCTACAGGAAAACATGAAGCCCAATGTACTATATTAGGCCAATGCACAGTAGTTCCCCCATATTCATTGTTTTGCCTTCCACAATTTCAGTTACCCTGAGTAGCCTGAAGAAATCACTCACTGCCCCACTCTGTCCCCCACAGAACGTGAATCATTCCTCTATTCAGTGTATCCACATTGTATATGCTACTTGCCCATTAGTCACTTAGTAACCATCTCAGTTATCAGATCAAAACCAAACATAATATATATAGGGTTTGCCACCATCTGTGGTTTAAAATATCCACTGGAGGCCTTAGAACGTATTCCCTGAAGACAAGGTAGACTACTGGACTCTATGACAGTCATATTCAAAAAAGCTAACACATACTTTGAGGGACACTCAGATTTGTTTCAGTCATAACAAATGTGCTCTTAATTATCCTGTATACCTTCAATGAAATTAGTTTAAAACAAATCCTACTCAAAAACAACCTCAGATTCAGTGTTGGCACAGACTTTAGAGATTAGTCTCAATTTCACTAATTCTCTTTAAATCAGAGTTTCTCATCTGTGTCACTATTAACATTTTGAGCTAGATGAGCCTATGTTTGGGGCACTGTCTTGTGCAATGTGGAATGTTTCGTAATATCCCTGGCCTCTACCTACCAGATGCCAATAGCACTCTCTATCAGTGTGACAACCAAAAATGTCTCAGACACTTCAGAATTTCCCTGGGGGGACAAAATCACCTGAGCTAGAACTACTACTCAACCTTTCCCAGGCATTTTCCTCCAGAATCTGATTGAATATATATATAGTGATAGAAAAATTTCTATTAATGAGGGTACCAATTAAACATTTATAACTTTAATCAGCACTCAAATAAATGTGATTGATATGTCTTTTAGATCACTGCCTTTATTTATTCAACACCCTCTACCACCACCTAAAAAACCACTCATCTTTCAAGACTCAGATCAAAGGTAAGAGCTTCACAGAGCCTTTCCTGACCTCACCTCAAATGTAAAAGTGACTCCTCTCCTGAGTGTTTCCCCTGAACCCCTTCCCCCTCCTTTTTCCTACCTTTCACTAAAAAAAAAAAAAAATAAAAATAAATAACTCCTGTATGTGCTGGGCACTGTTCTGAGTTCTGGAGTTAAAGCACTAAGCAAAGCAAACCAAAAAAAAAAAAAAAAAACATGAAACTCTCCCTCATTGAGTTTGTATTCTGTAATGAAGGTGGAGAATGACAATTATTTTTAAAAATTATATGAAAAAAATTAAATAGAAAGTGGGAGGATTAAAATGTTATAAAGATTCATGAAGGCCTCACTGAACAGGTGCTGTTTGAGATAAGACAGGAAAGTGATAAAGGATGAGTCACATGGTGATCGGATGGAAAATCATGTCGGACAGAAGGAATGGCAGCTATAATTGGAATGCTTCACTGTGCTTCATTCTTTATATGTCCTTCTCACTTATTAACACATAAAGAGAAATAAAGCTGTTTGTTTTGGTTATTCATACAATGCTCAGCATATACTCGGTACTTAATATATTTTTTTCCGTAAATGAAAACATGTTTTAAATACCTACCGCAAATATAAGTATCCTAACTGGAAAGGTTAGTGAGGTTTACTCAATTCACACTTCTTTAATTTGGGACTGTATGAAAATGTCTAAACATATGTTATGGAATTCTCTATTGATCTATCTATCCATCTATCATCCACCTCCATATCTATTTAACTAAAGCAAATGTCCATATAACAAACCAAAATGACTTACAGTAGGATTCTGGTATTAATTTCAAGGTTTTTTTTATACTTTGCTTTTTCCACTATAACTGATGAGAACTCTTAGTCAGATGCTAACAAGTCTGGTCTTTTCCTTTCTCTTGGCGCAGTTTCTATCCCTTCTAAGTTGTTCAGTTCTGCTAAGAAACTGGATCTTGCCAATTAAAAGACAGGCTGGCCGAGTATAGATTGTTTCTTCCTTTTATCAATGGATTGGTAACTTTTGTGAAAAATCCCCAACCTCTTCCTCTCTGACGACACAGAGTTTACTCTGCAAATGAGCAATCTTTCTGAGATGATTCACTCTTCCGTGTTCTCAGCACAAAATAACGCTTTCTCCCGGAGACTGGCTTTCCTTTCACTCTGCAAAAGCCTGTGAGAGACACTCTCTCTCCCTCTGCTTGCAGTGCTCTGTCTTGTGTGTCACTGTTTTCCATTGACCTGTCCCATAGCAATGAGAGTGCTGTGGTTTCCTGTGCCTCTGGTCAGAGAGAGGAAGTGCCTGGTTGATGACTGAGACAGAGGGAGTAATTCCAGTATTCATCCCGTGCAACACAATAGCCATCCTCCCAGCTGCAGCCACCCAGGGGTTTGTATTCCCAGCCACTTAGGATCCCAGCAGGAAAGTGATGCCACATTCAGCTTGGCATAATTTGTAATGACTTTAACGAAGAAAATATTTGCAAAAATGTGGTCAGAGAATAAGGAATTCACAAAGAGGAGTGTAGTACAACAGGGCTAAGAACATGGCACTGGGTAGGCCTGAGGAAGCAAGGAGGGTGGGCAGTCACTGTAAACTGACAGGAGCTACAGGCTTGAGTCACACAGTCTGCCTGCAATAATGACTTGCAGAAAAGAAGCAAAGGAATATACACTCCAACCTCACTCTTCATCCTTCCCTTTTTTCTTCCCCTCCTCTGAGTTCAAGGGACCCTATTGATGTAATCCATAAAGACTGGCTCCTGCAGCCTCGCAGTACAAAGGATGGAGTCTGAGTAGCAAGTGGCAGATGCCCAGCACATATCATCATGGTATTTCACTCCCATTATCCTTTGGTTGACATTCACATATTAGAGATGTGAGAGATTTTCCCAATCCAAAATACTCATAGGATTGTGATATTATAAGATATTGAAGTTAGCTAGGACATTAGTAATCATTTAATCAGAAAAATTCTCAAGCATATGAAGATTGTAAATGCTTGCCCCCCAGTGTACAATGCCAGATCTGGGACAAGAAACCAGATCTCGTAACTTGGAGCCCACTATGAAATGCTGTCATTTTAGAGGCAAGTAGAGATCTAAAACAGCAAATGCGATTTAGGCCTTCTTGCAATATATGATATGTGTTTGTGTTTCCCTCCTTATATATACATATACATGTAACAATACAGAGGTAAATATATAAATATCAATATTTATCAAAGCTAGAACGATGGGAAAGCAAACTTGACATATCAAAAAGTGCCTCAGAAATGAACAGGCAGAATTTCAAGTTTAGTCCGGTTTCTTCTAATTGACCATAGGCATTGCACTTGATAAATTCATACAAGGGATTTCAAAATAAAGTTATTTTATTTTGCTCAGTTGAATATCTTTATGCTTCAAATTCAATGCATGCTTCTAATAAGTCCCTCTCCATTACATTTAAAGCATTATTATCATATTCTTATTTCTGTCCCATTCTCAGAAAGATTTGATTTGAACGTAATGTGCATACAATCTTTAGAAGTCTGACTTGTTTTCAGAATTACAATAAGGTCTTACTTATTTGCTACTATTGGAGAACAAATATTACCATGTAAATATATTTTTAGATAACTTAAAAATATACTTTACATGATAGAACCTCTTCTCAGTAACACACAGTTTTTATAAATATCAGTTATTATACTAAACTGCATCTTATTCTCCTCAGAGTAGGAGGGTGAAGGCCTATTTGCCTCTACAGAAAATAATCTCAGGGTATAGTTTTTTATTTAATTCTTACATCAATTTTCTGAAGATTTCTGGCACCTTTAATCACTGCCAGTCTATGAACCGTCAAGCCTTGTCAGGATACCTGTTTCTTATGTCACCTTCTTTGCAAATTAATTTTACCCAATCCAATCATGCATTTATTCAGTCAATACTGTTTAGTGAATATCTTCTAGGTAAACTTCAAAGAAATTGAGTCAATATAAGTGAGCTTTCTAACAAAATCGCCCAAAGATAAACTACCTAAAAATGTTGTAAATTTCTCATCATTGAGTGTGTTTAAATATATGTTGGATGACCGTAAAAAAAGGATGCCAGAGCAGAGATTGTAGTATCACAAAGGTGTGGTATCAGAAAGTCAAATTTGTGGTACTTTACACATATGAAATGCTCTAATTCTAACTAGCAGTTGCCACCAGATCCACTCTCTCTTACTGCTGTAGCCTTAGCTCACTTTAATTGAAGTTAGCAATGCCTGAAACAGAACCTTGAAATTACTTATTTCTTAGTTTTCAGCCATTTCAAGGAAGAATGATTCACAGGTAAACCTTGTGTTCAGAAGTGAATGATAATTTGTGTCATTTCTTAAATAAATATTTTAAATTCATTTACTCTGCTAATAGTTTTTACTTACTCAATATTCAATACTGTGAAAAAGAATCAAGAGCAATAATGTATTTCTGTTTGACTCAAATATTTTTAAACTCTCTAACTGAGCGCCCAATTAGCCTAGTGACAGCCGAACTCCTCCATAACGCTTTGGCTATGAGAATGTCTTTAACTTCCGATTTCTTTGCTTGTGGAAAGATGCAACTTCTTCTCCCAAAAAATTCCTTATTCAGTAACTTGCTAAACTTACTATCACTAAGAGTGAGAATAAGACATCATGTAAAATTGGAGCATGACTTAGTATGAAAGGCTATAAGGCCATGTATTGAATTCAGAATAGGTTCATTCACTTCACAAATATGTATGGAGTATCTACCAGGTCCTAAGCACTCTGCTAACAAGATTCACCTATGAACAAAACTGGTAAAAATAAACAAGATTATATTTAGTATGTGTTATATACTAATAAGTGCTAGGGAGAAAAATGTAAGGCAGGGGAAAATGACAGTGGGGTTGGGCAGGGATGTGCTAAGATTTTGGTTAGGCTGGCCAGGGAAAGGTTTATGTAAAACCTGAGTTTGAAATAAAAACGTAATTAAAGAAGGGAGTCAACCTTGTGGATATCTGGAAAAGAGCATTTGAGGCATAACGAAGATGAAGTGTGAAGCCCCCAAGGCAGGGCTGCCCAGGTATTTGAGAATGAGTGAGGAGACCAGGGTGGCTGGGGATAAGGGAGTGAAGGAGTGTGGTGGAACACGTGGCCCATCATGTAGGTTTCAAAGTCACAGCACAAATATTTGCCTTTCCACAGTGTGTGACTGGGGACTTTTGAATAGAGGAATGACATGATCTCGTTTATGTTTTCACGGGATCACTCTGGCTGTTCCATTGAGAATAGACTGAAAGGAGTCTAGATGGAAGAAGGAATACCAGTCAGGAGATACAGTTATGATTCATGAGCAGGATGATGGCACTTGGGCCAGGGGATGTCAGTGGAGGTGGCAAGAAGTGTGATATGGTTTGCATCTGTGTCCCCACCCAAAACTCATGTTCAGTTGTAATCCTCAGTGTTGTAAGTGGGGCCTGGTAAGAAGAGATTGGATCATGGGGGCAGTTTCTAATGATTTCACACCACACCACTGGGGACTGTTCTCATGATATTGAGTGAGAAGTTATCCCCAGATCTGGTTGTTTAAAAGTGTGCAGCACCTCCCCACTCTCTCTCTTGCTCCTGCTCCCAGCCATGTGAAGTGCCAGTCCTCCTTCACCTTCCCCCATGATTGAAAGTTTCCAGAGGCCTCCCCAGCCATGCTACCTGTACAGCCTGAGGAATTGTGAGCCCATTAAACCTCTTTTCTTCATAAATTACCCACTCTCTGGCGTTTCTTTATAGCAATGTGAGAACCAGACATATTTTGTAGGCACCGATGGCACATTCAATGTGAAAAATGAGTGCCAGAGAAAGTTCAAGAATGACACCAAGATTATCTGAGAATACATGGGAACCTAAAACTTATTTTGATTGACATTAAATGGTCAATCACCTGCCCAGGCCCAAGGATCTCACCAAACAGAATCATCCAAAATACATGTTAGCATGTTACATGTTTTAATTTATGAAGAAGCACAAAGCAGAACCAGGTAATGCTATGGGCAGTACAAACTCAACGCACACAAATAGAGAAGATAATGGCTACAGAGAGGATTTGTGATGAAGCAGCATGATTAGTAATCTTTGCCTCTAAATGCAATTTCCAACACTGCCACCTTGACAGGCTAAACATCTGGCTAAAATTAACTCTTCTACTTCTAATTATTTCCCCTCAGATTGGACTTTCTCTACTCTCCTCTTCCCAGCAGTCCATAACTATGCCTAGCAATTATTAACAAAATATGCTTTATTGAAACTTTGTACATGTTCCAGCCCATATTATGCAAAAAACAAAAAAATCTCACTATGCTTGTTCTAGACTGAGTGTTAACCTTAAGGAGAGCTTATAACTAAAATAGTCACTTTTTCAATTGTATGATTTAGGCCAATCATTTAAATGGTATATGTAAAATAAAATAAAATGACTTGTAAAGTGGTTTAGACTACAATTGAGTGGTAGGAAGTATTCAGACAGGTTGGGTTTAAAGGTATTTTAGGGGGGCAAATTTTATGCTCCTTTTATCCTAACTGCTTGAGTAAACTCACCAACATCTTATAATAACATTCTATTTCCTGTCTCCATGTGAAGATTTATCACAATGAATCTGGTGAGATAATCCCTGTAATAGTAGAAGTCATTATGAAGTAATTGCATTGAAATGTGCTATGGAATGATGAGTACATATTTCTCTTTCTTGCCAACAAGTATATGAGTCTGTCATTGACTGAAAGACAGTAAAGCAATTCTCCTTTCTCCCCTCAACACAGCCTCTTTTGATTGGGAAAAAAAATTACAAAAAAAATGTGGTTCAGACTTCCCTGGCACATAATGCTGGCAGCATTGAGATGCAGAACTCTTTCCCATAGTAGGAGATGTACCATCTCCTTTACACTGCTTTTGCCTGTTTAACACTCTGCTGGTTATTAATGACATATTTGAGATCATAGTGACCTCTTTCAGCCTCCTCAAGCAGATGTAGCCCGGCGATGATAAAAACAAAATATCAAGTATAGCAGTATAATTCTATTTTGCAAACAAAATAGCTGGGTATTAACTACTTCAAAAGACTCTGTAGCCAGAACCCTCTCTCTGAAAAAAATAATGCCTTCATGTGGTATGATTAGTGAAAAAGTAGCATTGCTCTAAAATGAGATTAATTCCTAATTTCAACATCATTCACAACTTTCTTTTCAAGCTGCCTGAGGCCTGAAATTTTGTTTTTTTTAATCAATCTGTTGTTACTTTTTGTTATTATTCTTGAATGTTCACTCCTGAAGCCAGAATTACATTTGTGTCTCTGGGGTTTGAAATTGATTCAAAATTGACTGAAAGACAGCAACACAATTCTCCTTTCTCCCCTCGACACAGCCTCTTCTGATTGGGAAAAAAAAAAAATTACAAAAAAAATTTGGTTCAAACTTCCCTGGCACACAATGCTGGCAGTATTGAGATACAGGACTCTTTCCCATAGTAGGAGATGTACCATCTCCTTTACACTGCTTTTGCCTGTTTAACACTCTGCTGTTTAACACTCAATTCAAAATAGCTCTTTTCTACCATTTCCAAGCATGTTTTACTAAAACACGATATTGATATTCTCCTTGAGGGTATTGAATCTCTCCTCTCCAAGTTAAAGTGAAAATGGGGAATGGGACTGATGTTGACCCACTGATTCCTCTTAATGTCCATCTGTCTCACTTTTATTTACAAACATGAATCATGAATCAAAAACATTTGTGAAATAACAGTTTCTATATATGTTCCCTGGTTTGAAGTTCCCAAATAAAATATTTAATAGATATGCACTGGGCTCTTATTAAATGTATGACATTATGCTACATACTGTGGGGAGTGCTAAAAATTATTAAACTGTCCCCTGTCTCCTGCCAATCTGCTGGGAAGCCTGAGAAAGATAAGTCAACAATTATATTGCAAAGGATATCTACAGGTAAAAGTCTATCTACAGGTATAAGTGGGATGAAATCCAGAAAGAATGTTACAAGGGTGCTTTCATTATGCTGCATTAATCTATAACTTACTTATTCATGAAGAGTATGGTGGTGGTGGTGGTGGTGGTGGTGGTGATGATGATGATTACATTAAAGCATTATTATTATTCTAACCCAGTAGAATCATAGCTTATTTAAAAAGCATTATAATATTTGATCCACTTTCACATTTGATGGACAAAATAGTTCTTTGACCCCCTCAGCACATATGTTACTATCTTTATTTGGCAGATGAAGAAACTGAGTCACAGTAAATTATTTGAGAAAAATGTCTACTAGCAGAAACTAAGTTTCCTGAATCCTAGTCTCTATATTTTTTAGGTAGATGGCTACAAAAATCCCCCAGGACTCAAACTGCTCCCCTTTTACATTTCTTCTGTAAATTTTTTTAAGATACTTTTTCATAATTTATTAGGTTATTTATATCTATATATATTTTTTATTTTACTTTCAGTTCTAGGGTACATGTGCACAACGTGCAGGTTTGTTACATATGTATACATGTGCCATGTTGGTGTGCCGCACCCATTAACTTGTCATTTACATTAGGTACATCTCCTAATGCTTTCCCTCCCCACTCCCCCCACCCCACAACAGGCCCCAGTGTGTGATGTTCCCCTTCCTGTGTCCAAGTGTTCTCATTGTTCAATTCCCTAGGGAACCAGAACAAAGATTAAAAATTCTTCTGTAAATTTTTAATCTTTGTTATGGTTCCCTGGAAAACAGACTGAGGTAGATATACACATACAAAAGGGCTGGTGGGGGGTGCCCTTGGGAACAACATCCGTAAGGGAGGGAGAGAAGCAGAATTAGGCAGGGGGAAATATTGATTTTAAATGCAGTTGCCCCAAGGAGTCTTGACATTCTTTCTTCAGTTATCTCTGTTGAAGCAAGAGGATTGTACCTTGAATACAGCATGTCTTATACGGACAGTGTAACCTTGGACCTGGAAACTCGCTTTAGCTAGTGCAATTCCCAAAGAGGTATTCAGCTGTCTATAGCCTGCAGCCAGTTAGCAACTTAGCTGAGAAGTGAGTGATCCTTCCAAAGTGGCAGTCTAGGTGGTACATCACAGCCTCTGATACATGTGTCTTCACCATTTCCACACATGGCCCCCACAGTTATGCAGGGGCTTCTCATTGCCTCAGTATGAGAATCTGAAAATGACACATTACTTCTACTCACAGCTTATTGGCCAGAATTCGTCACATGTCTCCACAAAACAACTGGGAAGTGTGTGCTCCCATGTGCCCTGGAAAGAGGGTAGAACTTCTCATCATTACCAGAAGTATATCCACTTACTGTTTTAGAATACCAGGATAAATTACACTAAAACATCAAAATATCAGCCAATCAATCAAAAAGTACTTGCTGATTACATTCTATGTAACAGTGCTACATTAGGAGTTTTGATAAGTAGTATTTAGCAGAATGACAAAGTATTAAAAATCCAGATGGGAGAAAAGAAGATCAAATCTGTAACCCAAGGTAGTACATACTTGAGAGTTAAATTGTGACTATTGATGCTAAATTCTATAAAAATGCAGGAAAGAAGAACAAAAAGGGGAGAAGTTGGAAGAGACTTCATGAAAAAGATGAAAATTGAGTTGTGTCCTGAAATTTTAAAATCCTATGGAAAGAAGAGAAATTTGCCTCCACAATTACAATCAGATATTACCTCACGACCACTCTCGGAAATTTTTAGAAGGTCCTTCTTTCTGAAAGTCTCACATTCTCAAGAATATGCTGCCACAATTAATGCAAAGTAGCTCTTTAACATGAGGGAGGGCTGATAAATCAGGAAACATTCTCTCACAAACTGAGAAACAGTTTGCTGAATAGTACAGATGAGTGAGGTGAAAATGTGCCCAGGGCAGAAAGCACTGTGCTAGAATGGCCTGCTGAACTGTGCTCCTCCTGTTTCAAGACCTACACTAAATGGCCTAACTTCATCGCTGCCTGTAGCTCACCTCCCCAGTTAGCACACCTCCATGATTTTACCTATGGTGTAATTTCTGACATTGCTATAATTCCTCCTTTCCACTTTCCCAAAAACCCCAAAAGAATGAGCAATTTGAACTTTTTAATATAATTGACTCAGTATATGTAGTAAACTTTCACTTACCTACTTTTGTTGATTCAAGAAGTGAAAATATAAACCCACTGTTTCAGGTGTGTCACCTGTTCTCTAACTTAAGCTTCACAATCACCAAAGGTGGACAATTTTATCCCAATTTTATATATTAGGACATAGAGGTTTAGTGAAGTTAAATCACTTTTTCCAAAGTTACAGTTTGTTAAATTGCTTCCCCTAAGTGTAACTCAAACCTCATCTGTCTGATTCTAAAATTCATCATCTTTTCACTACAACTTTTCACTTTGCTTAAAGTCAATAATTATGTTAAGGTCAGCCCCTACACAGAATTCCAGCTTTATTTTTTACATAAGGTGAATCCCTTTTTGAATTTTAAAGTAATACAATTGCCAAAGTTTCTTACACAGAATTTCCTAATGTGTCTGCACTATATGGTCCTAAACCACAGACTCTCAGAAACTGCATTATGGAAGCTCAAACATAATTCACTCTGTGGTTGTCAACATTTGCTCCACACTGGTAATCTGTAAGAAATTAAGCTAAGACCACCCAATTTGTTGAACTGATCCTTCAGTTGTTTCTGACCTGGGCCATCTCCACAGCAAGAGCCATAAGGTAAAACATGTTGTGTTCCATTCTCACCCTGCTAGACAATGCTGTGCCTTTTGAACATTTTAAAAAACATGTGTTCTAAAAGCATCTGTCAGCATTGCTATGCAACAGCAGTTTCCAATGGACCATGCTTGAGATGAATGGAAACTCAGGATATGTCTATCACATATAGCAAGGCACTAGAGATTAATGAGACCAGATGTTCCTGGAAGTCTTGGGGAAGAAACAATGGAATGCTTCTCTGCTCTTGGTATTGATTTATTTTTCCCTCCCATGTTTTCTGGAATAAACTGAATAATGTAATCTAATATATAAGCAAAGCTACAATATATAATTCAGAATGTGTTACATTTGAGTTTCTAGGTGACCATATAGAAACTCTGGGACCCCAGTGGGAAATTTCAGTAACCTCTTTTATCAGTTCAATAAATAGATAGATAAATAAATAAATAAATAAATAAAATGAATACTGAACAGTAAATAAAAGGGTTTAAGAAGAGAAATGACCCATGCTACACTCCGCGAAAATGTAAAATTTTAGAAGAAGTTCTCTATTTGTGGGTGAAGTATTAAAAAAAAAAAAAAAGGACTACAAAGGAATTTGAATTTTAACCTAAAGTAAAAAATTACCAACTCAAGTCCTGAGCTTTGCTTTTGCTTGGAGAGCTGCTTTGGTAAATGCCCTTGGATGAGAGCTTGTCTTTGAGAAGATGGTGTTTCATGAAATCAGTGAGAAGCATCTCATTCCTAAAGTCCCAGTTCTATCCAAAGTAAAGAGGTACCCAAAGGGCTGAGTCAGGGAAGCCATCACTTCGCTTGCCTTTCAGTCCTCTGCATATCTCAAAAGCCAAAGGGAAGACTGAGTGGATGCGGAGGAAATGCAATCACTCCTCTCACCATGCTGATCGAAATCCCCTCTGTGGTAATCACCAGGTAGCTGCTGGGGAAAAGAGCATTTAATCTAAATGTAAAACAGAATGTACTGTTGATGGTCCAGGTTTCAGTCCACTGATGAGAAACATATCATCTTCTTACCTTTTTCTTCCCTGGAAATGAATCAATGTGTTCAGCTTTGAAACTCATCAGCACACTCCTGTGTTCACTTTCCCCACAAATAGGTAAGAAGTCTGTAATTTTGACTGAGAATGAAAACCCTGCTGACATGATGATTTGTGGCAGATAATGCAACTGATTCCATAGAGATCGCTTGAGATCACAAGTGATGTGAACAATCAATCTGAAAAATAAAATTTATTCAGGTACAGTACTACTAATCAAATCCATACTCAAAACAGCTCATGCACAAGACGACCCTAACCACAGGTAACCAGTTCAAACAACGTCACTCTTTTGTTGATAGTGTCATTATGATAGTTGCATCAAAATGGAGAAGTGGGCCTAGGAAAAAGCTAAATTTTCAATGTGAAAAGGTTTGGGGGAACTATTAGGTATTCGAAAGAGAAACATAATCTGCAATTCAGAAAGCAGCTTCATAGGAACTCCACATTCACAACAATGCTAAGAAATTAATCTACTTTTTCGGGAAACTTAATTTCATATCTAAAATGTTGCTTTATCATGATATCATGAGAATTAAGCCAGTAGAAACCTTTTATATTCCCTCTCATCTTAATAATTGCAGTTTTCTTTGGAGGAACTCTTCTCCAGTCATGACACTTCCTTTCACAGAGCTTCATTGCTACAAGCCTGGCCCCTTTCTATCTATTTGAGATGTACTGACTGGTACAGTTAAAAAGAATAAACTAGGCACACTCTGCTCAGCACTTGCTTTCTCTTGAGTTGAATGGCCTATGGATGGCTGATGATTTCTTCTGATTCTGATGCTAGTACTCTTATCTGGGCCAAGCCCTCTAAGTGCAAGGGACTAACCTGAACAAAAACAGTTTGCATGACTGTGAAAACACTCCTTTCTGTGCATCATGTTCTGTCTCTCTCTCTCCCACACCACACGCACACACACACACACACACACACACAGAGTGTCTATTGTCTCTGTTTCTCTGTGTGTGTGTTCATCCCTGATCTCACTGGTTTTCTCACAGGCAGCTGGAATTCTCTGCAACGGCTCCAGGGTGAGGGATGTCATGTAAAATGGAGAACCCTGTCCTGATCCAGCACTTCTGTGACTAATGAAAGCTATCCAGTCCTGGGGATCAGTATTAGGAAGCTCATTTTCTTTTCACACTAAGTTACATATTATAACTTACCTCTATCGATTATGTAGGTGATACTTAGATTTCTTGTCTGCCTTAGTTCTTGTCTTATTTCCCAATTCATTACCTGTTAGAAAAGAATACCTTTTCATTAGAAACTCCAAATCTCAGGAGCTACACCTTTGATTAAAAAAAATTATATAAAAATGTTCGATAAGAAATTTGAGCATTTGGTGCATGATACTTTATTATGTGTGGTCACATGCGTCAGTTCTCTAGATTTGCTTTGTTTTTCTGCACTTCAGGCCATCACTTCAAGAGAACACTATGAATAGGTGCTGGATCTAATGACCTTTCAATGGAATGGCCACTTAATTCAATCCAGGAAATGTTTGAGAGTCAAGTAGATCAAGGGAGACATTTAATGACATGGGGACAAGCATGGTACCCCAGGGATATTCCAGGAATTGAGACCCTATTGTACCTTCAAACCTGAGATTGTATGAATTCTCCACTATTTGTTGCTTTGTTTTCTCTTTCTCTCCTTCTAATAAAGTTCTAAACCATCTGCATAGCTTAAATGAAAAGCTCTATTAGCAAAGTTTGTAATTAACTCTTAAAGCTCTTTCAAGTAGATTAAAATAGCTGAACCATGTGTATGACCATGTTTTTGCTTATGTCTCTGTCTTTTCTTTATAAAAATTCCTAAAAGTGAGTATTTTACTTCCTAAGGGGAGCATTTGAAAGGTTGGAGTCCCTATGTGACATCAGGATAATTGAGGCCCAAATTTCCTTGTGATCAACACTATCTGGAAAGCTGCCTCAGTTCTCCAGTTCCTTTTGAAGTTGACATCACCGCTGTGTGTGGTATTTCGAACATCTGTTCCCATGATTCCCAAGGAACAAGTGTCATGAATCACTGCTTCCCAAAAGAGTTACATTTTGCTGAAAGTTGACTTCAATTTTACTTGTGGTCTTAAAAGTCTCAAAAGATATATTAAAAATTCACTTCCAGAGTGTTTGTAGCAAACAATTATTGCTTGTTTTGTGGTGCAAGACTGATACGTTACTTCAGGGAAGCAAAAACAATGGGGATTTTCTAGGCAGTGGCATATTCTTTTATTCTCTCTTCCCTCCCACAACACTCAATATTTCTTGGAAAATTCCCAGGGAGTCTGAAACTCCTAAAAGTTATCTTCTACTATCAATGAGGATACAATTATCCCCTCTAAAAAAAGTAAGATATCTTTTAAAAAGAAAAACTCATTATATTTTCATGTCCCTGAGAAAGTTTACCTCATTTCATGAAAATTAAGAGTTATAACCCTGCCTAAAGGTTGGGAATCTAATAATTTCCTCTACTTTTTACGTGAGACAGAAATATCTTGGATTAAAATGTTGTCTTTATATTGAATTAAAATAGCAAAACCAATGAACCAAGTTAGCTTGCTTAAGTTCTGAGGATCTGAAATGGTCTGGGATGAAACAGCAATACCTTCTTTAAAATTATATCCCTTTTCTCTGAAATAATTTATATTACAAATAAATTATAGGCAACATCATTTAAACTATCTAGCATCAAACTGTTATCTGACGCGTGAGTATATCAAAATTTAAAATAAGATATTAAAGAATTTGTTTCTGCTCATTGCTTTCCATATTTCTGTCTGGAACAGGATTATTATTTTTATTTGCTCATTGATACCACTTCATATTTTTCCTAATTTTTAAGGATAATTATAAATAGAAAGTAAAACTTACCAACTTAAGTTTCATATAAACCTTTTCATTTTAGAATAGTTTTATACTTATATAAAAGATGTAAAGATAGGACAAAATATTCCTGTATATGCTAACTCAATTTCCTCTGGTGTTATCATCTTACATTATTATGGTCCATTTGGCAATAATAACCCATATTGGCACATCATTAGTAACTAAACTCCATATTTTATTTGGATTTCATTAATTTTTCTCTAACGCCCTTTATTTCTGTTCCAGAATCTCATTTAGGATACTACGTGGCATTTGGTCCTCATGTCTCCTTATCCTCCTCTGATCTGTGACAGTCTCTCAGACAGTTTCCTTGATTTTGATGATGTTGACAGTTTGGAAGGGTATTGGTCACATACTTTGTAGAATGTTCCTCAATTTGGGGTTTGTCTAATATTTTTATTGACTATAGTTTTGGGTTTTTGAAAGGAAGACCACAAAAGTGAAATGCCATTCTCATCACATCATATTAATGTACATACCATCATCATAAGTTATCACTGATAACATGAGCCTTGATTACCATGCTGAGGTAGTATTTGTAAGGTTTCTATACTGTAAAGTTACCATTTCCTCTTTTCATACTCTACACTTTGGAAGTAAGTCACTAAGCATATCCTCCACTCAAGGGATGGAGAGTTAAGCTCCACCATCTTGGGGTGTGGTGTACATAGACAAATTATTTGAGGTTCTTTTCAGGAGATTTGTCTCTTTGCTTCATTTATTTATTCTTCAATTATTTATTTATGTAAGTGTGGACTCAGGCATATTTATTTTATAATTTGGGTTATAATCCAATAAAATATTATCTACTCTTTTTGCTCAAATTGTTTTTCATCTTTTACCATTGTAAGCTCCATCAGTTGTCTCTTGTGTCACTTTGGCATATCCTCATCATTTTGTTTAGAGCACTTCCTTACTTTCTCACACAACAAGATGCATCAGGCTCATCTTGTACATTCCCTACCACAGCCCTGGAATCAGCCATTTCTCCAAGGAGCCCTGGTTTCTTTTATTGGAGGATAACTTTAGAAACCAAGATCTTAGGATTTGGTGAGCTCAATACTAATGTCATGTCACTGTTTCCAGGCCCTCTTAGAAGACAGAGCTAAGACATGTACAGGTACGTGCAAAGCAATGCACACATGCATATCTATAATTACTTCTTTATTAATTTGTATCTATATTAAGCTAAAAATGAGTTCATACTAATCTCTTTGACTTTATTCCAGCACCATGTGGTTCATTCTAGTCTTATTCACTTACTTATCTGTAACTTCTCACTCCAGCAGTGAGAAACCTGGCTCCCACCATTATTATCCTGTTACATAGTTGATTATACATGTATGGCAGTTTCAGAATGGTTAACCTACAGCCCTTGAGAATGAAATTTTATCAACTACAGAACAGTGTTCATATATATTTCCTTTTGTATTTAGCCTTAAGGTTTTCAGTCAAACTACAGGTCTCCAAAGTTAGTTAGGCCACAGCCTTTTTCCTTTCCTTCAATAAGGTTGAATAATACATGCGTAATGCCATTAGAGTCTTCTGGCACAGTCTGCATTCCAACTTGGGATCCCTGGTAAATTTTGTTTTTGTTTTTGTTTTTGTTTGTAAAGATTCAGGTGCATTCTTATGTGCTGCAAAGTTCTAAGGGTCTTCAGATATGCACAGTGGCATTTAGCCATCACAATATTACCAGTCCCAATACCTTTAAAAAAATCCTGTGCTTCCTAATTATAAAGAAAAAGTAAAATTTTTATCTGTTTACATTTTTAACACTCTTATTTTTTCCATTTATTATAAGCTCTTTATTTATAACTAAATCAAATTAAAAGCAATTTGTGCACACTCTTAAGAGCTTTTATTACTCCATTTTCTTTATTTTGTTTTTATGTGACTTTAAATTCCAGGATACATGGCAAAATGTGTAGGTTTTTTACACAGATATACATACGCCATGGTGGTTTGTTACACCTATCAACCCATCATCTAAGTTTTAAGCCCCACATGCATTGGTATTTGTCCTAATGCTCTCCCTCCCCTTGGCCCCCACCCCACAACAGGCCCCATTGTGTGTTTTTCCCCTCCCTGTGTCCATGTATTCTCATTGTTAAACTCCCACTTATGAGTGAGAACATGTGGTGTTTGGTTTTCTGTTCCTGTGTTAATTTGCTGAGAATGATGGTTTCCAGCTTCATCCATGTCCCTGCAAAGGACATGAGTGTATTCTTTTTCCCTTTTTTTTTTTTTTTGTTGTTGAGATGGAGTCTCACTGTGTCACCCAGGCTAGATTGCAATGGCACAATCTTGGCCCACTGCAACCTCTGCCTCCCAAGTTCAAGTGATTCTCCTGCCTCAGCCTCCGGAGTACCTGGGATTACAGGTGCCCACCACCACATCCAGCTAATTTTTATATTTTTAGTAGAGACAGGGTTTCACCAGGTTGGCCAGGCTGGTCTCAAACTCCTGACCTCATGTGATCCACCCACCTTGGCCTCCCAAAGTGCTGGGATTACAGGTGTGAGCCACCGCACCCTGCCAGAGCTTATTCTTTTTTATGGCTGCATAATATTCCATGGTGAATATGTGTCACATTTTCTTTATCTAGTCTATCATTGATGGGGTTTTGGGTTGGTCCTAAGTCTTTGCTATTGTAAATAGTGCTGCAATAAACCTAAGTTTGCATGTGACTTTATAGCAGAATGATTTATAATCCTTTGGGTATACACCCAGTAATGGGATTGCTGGGTCAAATGGTATTTCTGGTTCTAGGTCCTTGAGGAATCACCACACTGTCTTCCACAGTGGTTGAACTAATTTACACTCCCACCAACAGTGTAAAAGCGTTCCAATTTCTCCACATCCTTGCCAGCATCTGTTTCCTGACTTTTTAATGATAGGCATTCCAACTGGGGTGAGATCTCATTGTGGTTTTTATTTGTGTTTCTCTAATGACCAGTGATGATGAGCTTTTTTTCATATGTTTGTTGGCAGCATAAATGTCTTCTTTTGAGAAGCATCTGTTCATATCCTTCGCCCACGTTTTAATGGGGTTTTTTTTTTCTCATAAATTTGTTTAAGTTCCTTGTAGATTCTAGATATTAGACTATTCCTATCAAGCTACCATTGATTTTCTTCACAGAATTAGAAAAAAAATTACTTTAAACTTCATATGGAACAAAAAAGAGCCCATATAGCCAAGACAATCCTAAGCACAAAGAACAAAACTGGTGGCATCATGCTACCTGACTTCAAACTATACTGCAAGGGTACAGCAACCAAAACAGCATTTACTGGAACAAAAACAGCTATATAGACCAATGGAACAGATCCAAGGCCTCAGAAATGACACCACACATCTACAGCCATCTGAACTTTGACAAACCTGACAAAAACAAACAATGGGGAAAGGATTCCCTATATGATAAATAGTGCTTGGAAAACTGGTAGCCATAAGCAGGAAACTGCTACTAGACCCCTTCCTTATACGTTATACAAAAATTAACTCAACATGGATTACAGACTTAAATGTAAAACCCAAAACCATAAAAATCCTAGAAGAAAACCTAGGCAATACCATTCAGGCCATAGGCATGGGAAAAGACTTCATGTCTAAAACACCAAAAGCAATTGCAACAAAAGCCAAAATTGACAAATTGGGTCTAATTAAACTAAAGAGCTTCTGCACAGCAAAAGAAACTATCATCAGAGTGAACAGGCAACCTACAGAATGGGAGCAAATTTTTTGCAATCTACCCATATTACTCAATTTTCATACAGCTATAAAGAAATCTCTGAGACTGAGTAATTTATTAAGAAAAAGAGGTTTAATGGACTCATAGTTCCATATGGCTGCAGAGGCCTCAAAATCATGGCAGAAGGTGAAGGTGAAGCAAAGGCACATCTTACATGACACCAGGCAAGACAGCATGTGCAGGGGACCTGCTCTTTATAAAACCATCAGAACTTGTGAGACTTATTCACTATCACAAGAACGTCATGGGAAAATCTGCCCCCATGATTCAGTTACCTTCTGCCAGGTCCCTCCCATGACACTTGGGGATTATGGGAGCTACAATTCAAAATAAGATTTGGGTGGTGACACAGCCAAAGCATATTAGAGCTATAGATATAAAAATATCATTGATACTTCACTGAAGAAAAAATTAGAAAATATTCCAAAAAGAAAGCAAAGATACAATAACAAGGGCATCCTATTCTCTTTTCCAACCTAACAAGAATGGAAAATGACTACAAGTGAAAATTGAGAGCTATCATCCCAATTTCCCATCTTTGTATCTTTGTCTTGACTTCCGTAATTTTTTTTTTTGACAGGGTCTCACCCTTGCTGAGGCTGAATGCAGTGGCATGATCAATGGCTCATTGCAGCCTCAGCTTCCCAGGCTCAAACCATCCTTCCACCCTCTGTCTTTGAGTAGCTGGGACCGCAGGCACCTGCCACCACACCTGGCAAGTTTTTGTATTTTTTGTAGGGGTTTCACCTTGTTGCCCAGGCTGGTCTTAAGTTCCTGTGCTCAAGTGATCTGCCCACCTTGGCCTCTTAAAGTACTGGGATTACAGGCATGAGTCACAAATGCTGGGATTACAGACATAGGCCACTGTGCCCCATTGCCTTCTGTATTTCTAATGCCAATCTTTTCTTCCATCTTCTTTACTACTAGAAAGCAGGCCATTAACTAATGGAAGCAGAGACAGAAAGGAGTCAGTATTTCTATAGATCTTTAGGCAGGAAAAGAAATGAGGCTGAAATGATGATATTGTTTGTTTTTGTGTCCCCACCTAAATCTCATCTCAAATTGTAATACATATAATCCCCACGTGTTGAGAGTCCTGCCCTCAAAACATGGGGATGATTGGATCATGGGGGCAGCTTCCCCCATGCTGTTCTTGTGATAGTGAGTGAGTTCTCAAAAGATCCGATGGTTTTATAAGGGGCTCATCCTCCTTTGCTCATTTGCTCTCTCTCATCTGCCACCATGTAAGACATGCCTTTGCTTCTCTCTCCTTCCACCATGATTGTAAGTTTCCTGAGGCCTCCTAAACCATGCGGAAGTGTGAGTCAATTAAACCTCTTTCCTTTATAAATTATGTAGTCGCAGGTACACCTTTATAGCAGTGTGAGAACTGACTAATACAAATGGAGTATAGGCACAGGGATGGCTTCTCTCATCTTCTGTTAAAGTCACCTGAAAACAAGAGAAACAGATATCACTTTGCACAATACTATTGACCTATCCAATTATGAATCTGCATCCCAAAGAGAGTTGAAACTAATCTGAAAACAACTTGCTTGATTTCTTTAGCATCCCCACAATCATATTCACAGCAAAAAGTCTTCTGTGTATAGATGTAAAGATATTTTCACGGATTCAGTGAAATTTGCTTTGGAGCACTGGAATTGTTTTACATTTACCACTGAGAAAGTTAGAGGAATAGCACATTTTACAATCAGTCTTTCAGTTCTCAGAGGGCCTCTTATCCTAAAAAAGTTCCCATGACTGACTCTCAACATGTTTTTAAAAACCTTTTACCTCTATATGTGGCTGTGGTCATGTAGTTGATTTTTTTTTTGAGATTAAAAACACATAAACACAATCAGTCAAGCAGATGGATTTATATTGCTGTTTGTATTCCTACCATCAATGCATGAAAGTTCAAGTTGCTCCATATGCTCATCAACACTTTTTATTGGCCTTTTTTCATTTTAGCCATTCCAGTGGGTATGTAGGGATAACTCATATTTCAATATTTGAATTTCTCTGATGACTAATGATGCTAAACACTTTTCTATGTCTATTGGTCAGTCATGTATTTTCTTTTCTGAAGTTTCTGTTTAAACATTTTTTTAAACTTTTAACTGACTTGTATTTCTATTAATGAGTTGTAAGAGTACTTTATATATTTTAAATATGAATAATTTATCAAATATATGTTTTGAAATATCTTCTCCCAACCTATGGCTTATCTTTTCATATTGTTAATGGTGTCTTTTGTGAGCAGAAGCCTTTTATTTTTATAAGTTTACAATATTTTGTAAAAGACATAGGCATAGAAACAAAAAAACAGATGAGTGGTTGCCAGAAGCTGTGGCTAGGGATGGGAAACTGATTGCATATGGACATAAGGGAACTTATTATTGTGATAAAAAATATTTCATATCTTAAATGAACTCAAACAAATTTACAAGAAAAAAACAAACAACCCCATCAAAAAGTGGGCAAAGGACATGAACAGACACTTCTCAAAAGAAGACACTTATGCAGCCAAAAAACACATGAAAAAATGCTCACCATCACTGGCCATCAGAGAAATGCAAATCAAAACCACAATGAGATACCATCTCACACCAGTTAGAATGGCGATCATTCAAAAGTCAGGAAACAACAGGTGCTGGAGAGGATGTGGAGAAATAGGAATACTTTTACACTGTTGGTGGGACTGTAAACTAGTTCAACCATTGTGGAAGTCAGTGTGGCGATTCCTCAGGGATCTAGAACTAGAAATACTATTTGACTCAGCCATCCCATTACTGGGTATATACCCAAAGGACTATAAATCATGCTGCTATAAAGACACATGCACACGTATGTTTACTGCGGCACTATTCACAATAGCAAAGACTTGGAACCAACCCAAATGTCCAACAATGACAGACTGGATTAAGAAAATGTGGCACATATACACCATGGAATACTATGCAGCCATAAAAAATGATGAGTTCATGTCCTTTGTAGGGACATTTATGAAATTGGAAATCATCACTCTCAGTAAACTATTGCAAGGACAAAAAACCAAACACTGCATATTCTCACTTATAGGTGGGAATTGAACAATGAGAACACATGGACACAGGAAGGGGAACATCACACTCTGGGGACTGTTGTGGGGTGGGGGGAGGGGGGAGGGACAGCATTAGCAGATATACCTAATGCTAAATGACGAGCTAATGGGTGCAGCACACCAGCATGGCACATGTATACATATGTAACTAACCTGCACATTGTGCACATGTACCCTAAAACTTAAAGTACAATAATAATAAAATAAAATAAATTTCATATCTTAATTATGATAATGGTCACACAACTATATATATTTGTCAAAACTCATCAACTGTAACCTTTAAAAAGGTGATCTTGTTTATTGTACGTAAAGCATAACTCTATAGGCCTAATTTAAAGTAAAATAAAATCGCTTTGAAATCCTCCCATGTAAACAGAATAGTCTCCCCTGATGTGCTCCTTACATTTGGGAATGAAAAACAGAAACATTTAAAAAATGAGAGTGGGGCAGGAATTTATTATCACAATCTTAGTACTGCCTTCCAAACATGGGACTCTAAGATAGAGGCAAGCAATTGAGGTCAGAGAATCCAATTTGAAGAAATTGAGAAAAAAAAAGAAGAAGAAAGAGAGAGACAGAGAGAAAAAAGAAAAAGAGAGAGAGAGGCAGGGAGGGTGGGAGGGAGGGAGGGAGGGAGGGAGGAAGGAAGGAAGGAAGGAAAGAAGGAAGGAAGGAAAAGAAAGACTGACTATATAAGTTAGCTGTTTAAATTCACAATATTATCACACATGTTCTTGTAATTCCTTACATTAAGTCACTTAACAAACTCAGACATTTTAACTGCTAAACTTCATTGTATGCTCTTTCATATCCTGTGATCCTAAGGGAAGTCTTTGTGCAGGAAATCTTTCTTATAGTTGATCTAAATAACTATTAGATTATAGCCTAAATAAATCATGTTTTTCAAATGCTGGATGCATTGTTTCTCTTATTTAGCGCCAGCCTTGGATGAACTGTATCTTCAACAAATGAAATTTTGTGCAAACTGTCACTTCACTGTCCAAAAGGATTTGGCTCTTTTAGAAAGCAGTTTCTGACCTCAAGATTACAGTCTACATTGCTTATATCCTTTTTTCCCTAAAATACAGAAGGCATCCGGGAGCATGAAAGGAGGTATTTTGTGTATATTGCTCAAACCAATCATTTTGGGTTATCAGCTTCTCATGTACTGCATACTGTACTGCATCTGAGCTAAGAATTTGAAGAGATCAGCCAGTATTCTGATGGAAACTTTGAAATGACAGAGATAAGATAAAGAACATACTGTATACTGTATAGGGAAAATATCATTGGACAAAAGAAAATTAGAAGTACAATATGGTACAAATAGTGCTAGTACTTAGTTATATCATTTTTACTTTTATACTCAATGCACCTGAAAAAATACTTTACCAAAAAAGTACCAACAGAAAAAGAAAGACATGGATGATTATCTAGATGAATCCATCAGGCAATTACATATGTAGAAGCTACACACTTAGCTTTGCCTAATAAACCTTATTTTACTCAGAGAAGTGCCTATGAGCCATAAACACTCCCTTTTCAGTTGGGCAGCTATCTCAGATAATTCCTTGTGATGATTGAGAAAGTATTAGATTAACCTGTGGTACTAAACATAGACAGATTCTCTCTCCAAAAACCTATGTTCCTATCCCAAGCATCAGAGTGGCTCTTGCCATTAGCCCCTTTCATTTCTGGCATTTCTTCCTCATACCAACGCTCACAGTCAGTACTTCCATCCCCCTGCCCCAGGCCTTCCAAACTTTACATTGCAGATATGGGACAGGAAACATGTTGATAAATCAGGAGTACTTTGCAGGGTGACTATCTTCTTCCTGCTAGAGGAAGAGCTGAAAAAAAAAATACTAATTTTCTTCCTCTTTATTTCTTCTAAAAAAAATGGGCTACATGTGCAGAATGTGCAGCTTTGTTACATAGGTATACATGTGCCATGGTGGTTTGCTGCACCTATTGAATCATCCTCTAAGTTCCCTCCCCTAACCCCCAACAGGCCCTGGTGTGTCTGTTCCCCTCTCAGTGTCCGTGTGTTCTCAATGTTCAACTCCCACTTATGAGTGAGAACAGGCGGTGTTTGGTTTTCTGTTCCTGTGTTATTTTGCTGAGGATGATGGCTTCCACCTTCACCCATGTCTCTGCAAAGGACATAATCTCATTCCATTTTGTGGCTGCAAAGTATTCCATGGTGTTTATGTACCACATTTTCTTTATCCAGTCTATCATTGATGGGCATGTGGGTTAGTTCTATGTCTTTGGTATTGTAAATAGTGCTGCAGTAAACATATGTGTGCATGTGTCTTTGTAGTAGAACGATTTATATTCCTTTGAGTATATACCCAGTAACGGGATTGCTGGGTCAAATGACACTTCTGGTTCTAGATCCTTGAGGAATTGCCATATTGTCTTCCACAATGGTTGAACTAATTTACACTCCCACCAACAGTGTAAAAGTGTTCCTATTTCCCACAGCCTCACTAGCAGAATCTATTGTTTCCTGACTTGTTAATAATCGTCCTTCTGACTGACATGAGATGGTATCTCATTGTGGTTTTGATTTGCATTTGTCTTTTGACCAGTGATGCTGAGCTATTTTTCATGTGTTTCTTGGCCACATAAATGTCTTCTTTTGAGAAGTGTCTGTTCATATCCTTCGCCCACTTTATGATGGGGTTGTTTGTGTTTGTCGTTTCCTTTTTTTTTTTTTTTTTTTTTTGATGGAGTTTCCCTCTGTCGCCCAGGCTGGAGCACAGTGGCGGGATGTTGGCTCACTGCAAGCTCCGCCTCCCCGGTTCACGCCAATTCTCCTGCCTCAGCCGCCGGAGTAGCTGGGACTACAGGCGCCCGCCACCACACCTGGCTAATTTTTTTGTATTTTTAGTAGAGATGGGGTTTCACCGTGTTAGCCAGGATGGTCTCCATCTCTTGACCTCGTGATCCACCCTTCTCGGCCTCCAAAAGTGCTGGGATTACAGGTGTGAGCCACTGAGTCCGGCCAAAGTTCCTTGTAAATTCTGGAAATTAGTCCTTTGTGAGATGGGTAGATTGCAAAAATTTTCTACCATTCTGTAGGTTGTCTGTTCACTCTGATGATAGTTTCTTTTGCTATGCAGAAGCTCTTTAATTCGATTTCATTTGTCAATATTTGCTTTTGTTGCAATTGCTTTTGGTGTTTTAGTTACAAAGTCTTTACCCATGCCTAGGAGCTGAAAGGTGTTGTCTAGGTTTTCTTCTAAGGTTTTAATGGTTTGGGTTTTACATTTAAGTCTTTAATCCATCTTGATTTAATTTTGTATAAGGTGTAAGGAAGGGGTCCAGTTTTACTTTTCTGCATATGGCTAGCCAGTTTTCACAGCACCATTTACTGAATAGGACATCCTTTCTCCATTGTTTGTTTTTGTCAGATTCATCAAAGATCAGATGGTTGTAGATGTGTGGTGGTATTTCTGAGGTCTGTGTTCTGTTGCATTGGTCTATATATCTGTTTTGGTACCAGTACCATGCTGTTTTGGTTACTGTAGCCTTGTAGTATAGCTTGAAGTCAGGTAGCATCATGTCTCCAGCTTTATTCTTTTGGCTTAGGATTGTCTTGGCTATGCAGGATTTTCTTTGATTCCATATGAAATTTAACATAGTTTTTTCTAATTCTGTGAAAAATGTCAATGGCAGTTTGATGGGAATAGCATTGTATCTATAAATTACTTTGGGTAGAATGGCCATTTTCACGATACTGATTCTTCCTATTCATAAAGATGGAATGCTTTTCCATTTTTTGTCTCCTCTCTTACTTCCTTGAGCAGTAGTTTGTAGTTCTCCTGAAAAGGTTCCTCGGATCCCTTGTTAGCTGTATTCCTAGGTATTTTATTCTCTTTGTAGCGATTGTTAATGGGAGTTCATTCATGATTTGGCTCTCTGCTTGCCTATTGTTGGTGTAAAGGAATGCTTGTGACTTTTGCGCATTGATTTTGTATCCTGAGACTTTCCTAAAGTTGCTTATTAGTTCAAGAAGTTTTGGGGCTGAAAAAATTACTAATTTAAGCACAAAAGAACATTTGAC
Source organism: Homo sapiens (assembly GCF_000001405.40). NCBI lineage: Eukaryota > Metazoa > Chordata > Mammalia > Primates > Hominidae > Homo > Homo sapiens. Next base: position 98,333,406 of record NC_000005.10, read on the forward strand.
TGGATGTTAAAAGGCATTGGTCCAAGACCTCACTCTGCTCCAACCTGGTTAAGAAACTTGAAGCCAGTCACACAACATGAATGTACACTTTTTATCTTAAAAATGTAGGAGTTATACTAAACGATTATTAACTTCCTTTTAGCGCCAATATCCTAATATTATAATGTTTTTATATTATCAAATTATGAGAGTTGTGGAAGTTCAGAAGATATTTTCCCCAAATGTGTTATTTGTTGAAATAACACATGAGCCATGTTAACCTAATGTAATTCCTAGTATTCATAAAATGAAAAGCATTTGCCTTGCCTGTGTTCCTACTTCCCTATCATTTTCATTACAGCATGGCCCAAAGTATGCCCATTGCTCAGCAAGCAGTAATGAAGTGGAGCCCATTTGGTTAATAATTCAATTCTGGAAATCCCACCTAGAGTCATTTCCTTCTGCTCTGAATCCTTTCAAAGATCAGTTTGGCACTTTGAATTTTAATTTTCTAGGATATAAGTTTTTCTTAAGTAGAGGTGATTCACATAAAAAAGAAAATATTACTTGTTCCTTTTGAAATAACATAGTCTATAATGTTCAATATTCAAAAATGGCTTATTAGCAAATAATTTCAAAACATTATTTAAAAGTTTAAAATAGTAGGTTACTGTCTTCATGTGTCAGTCAGTGGGGAATTGCACATCCAAAAAAGCAATTGTCCTTGATGACTCAGAAACATGGCACAGGCTGGCTCTAAATACTGAGCCTAGAAGACAGCATAACAACTCACCAGATATCCTTAACTGCTGGAAGCCATGAGGCTACATGGGATTACCTGCCTCATCTCACATTGTCTTTTTCAGTGTGGCATCAGTGTACTAGGAGCCTTTCTTCCCAGATTGTACAGGTCACCAATATAATATTATATGACCACTCCTGGCCCTTACTGAGAAAGTCAAAAGGAATAATAAAAGAGTTGGGGACCAATATCTCCCAATTACTCCTTCTCTGCTAACCATATCAGCCTCTGGTAATAACCATCCTACTCTCTACAAATATGAGTTAAACTTTTTTAGAATCCACGTATAGGTGAAATCATGTGGCATTTGTCTTTCTGTGACTGGCTTATTTCACTTAACATATGTCCTCCAGGTTCATCTATGTTGTCAAAAGTGGCAGGATTTTCTTCTTTTTTATGGCTGAATAGTATTCCATTGTGTATATATACCACGTTTTCTTTATTCATTCATACATTGTTGGACCATTATGTTGATTCAATATCTTGGCTATTATGAGTACTACTATAGTAAATGTTGGAGTGCAGATATCTCTTTGACATACTGATTTTATTTCCTTTGGATATATACCCAGTTAGATAGGAGGAATAAATTCAACAGGTCTATTTTAGAGCATGGTGACTACAGTCATCATATATCATTAAAATATGATGATATATTGTATTCTTGAAAAGTGCAAAGAGAGTGGATATCAAGTGCTCTCACCATGGAAATGAAAACTCTGTGAGGTAATGCATTTGTTAATCAGCTAGATTTAACTCTTCCACTACACACACATACACATTTCAAAACATGTTGTACATAATAAATACAATTTTATCCGTAAACTAAAAACGTAAATTTAAAAAGAGTTGAGAAGCAAGTGAGCAGGAAGAAAACTAGTAGAACTTAGTCACTGCAGCGTCATAAATATAACTTCCACGTCCTCCAGAAAAGGAGACAATGGAATGACAGTTGGGCAACCAGAGTATAAATAGGGACCACTTGGCTGTTCAGCTCAAATGGATGACTGAGACAAAAAGCTACCGAAGGCAATGGCATGCTGCAATTTCCTTGAAATAGGATTATGATCTGTGTGAATCTTAAAAGAAGATGAGTTTAATATATAAAAAAACCAAATAGCATTGTGAAAAATATAAAACTTTTCATCCGCAAACTCTAAAAATGTGTCATCAAACACAAGATTCTTTTAAGCTATCAAAAATGATTCAGAAATAAATCATTTAGGCAAGAGAAGTAAGATTACTGAGTTTAATATAGCTATCAGTAAATTGTTTTTTTATTATCTCAACACTAAATTCTGTGTGACACAAACTTACAGTGAATGAAAATACACTGAATGAAAAATGTACAATCAAATGAAAATGCTATAGCTTCACAGAATATTCTTGTTGATATACATATCTTTTCCATCCTGCATTCAATCAGCTGGAATTATTTTTAAGGAAATAATTTATTTCAGTGAATGGATCTCTTAAAAGTTTAAATCTCAGGGTTGGGTTGAAGACACTAGTTCCTGGGCATCAGCTTTTTGAATTAATGTATAGCCTACCAATGAGGCGTGAGCCGCCGCGCCCGGCTGTTGCTTTACACTTTTAAAGATGTTTCTTAAAGTTCCAAAGGCAAAAAAAATAAAAATCAGTAAATAAAGTAAGTGTTATAACCAATCTTTAAAATCCTAGTGGTAATGGGCCGGGTGCGGTGGCTCGCGCCTGTAATCCCAGCACTTTGGGAGGCCGAGGCGGGCGGATCACGAGGTCATGGGATCCAGACCATCCTGGCTAACACGGTGAAACCCCGTCTCTACCAAAAAATACAAAAAACTAGCCGGGCGTGGTGGCAGGCGCCTGTAGTCTCAGCTATTAGGGAGGCTGAGGCAGGAGAATGGCGTGAACCTGGGAGGCGGAGCTTTCAGTGAGCCGAGATGGCGCCACTGCACTCCAGCCTGGGCCACAGGCGAGACTACGTTAAAAAAAAAAAAAAAGAATCCTAGTGGTAATGGTCCCTGGATTCCACATGAATGAGAATGAAGCATGGTGGACTCTTGAAGTTCTTTCTTGACCATTTACTTATTTCCTTTGTAGATGTTGCTGCTCAGACGTTAACCCAGTCCGGACTGAAATTGGCTCCAGCTCAAGGCACTGACTCAACTCAAAAGAGTTCTAGTCTTTCCATTTAGTCTTCTTTTTTTGTTTCAGTCCAGGGAAACCTCTGGCCTGGGCTATGCTGCATGTTTATTTCACAAGTTCTTTGCCACCCTTAGCTCCTGCTTTATTTCTTGAGTTCTTGAGGGAAAAGACAATAGTTCCTCAAGAATCAACTAACTAAGTTTTCTACCTTGATTTTGAAGTTACCTCCTCTGTCCTTTCTGAGAATGAGTGGGGTCCTGCAAACCCTAGCTCTTTCCCTGGTCCAGTGTATTCCACCCCCATTCAGTTTACTTGAATCACTAGCCAGTTATTAAGATAGCACATTTGCCTATTTAACATTTGTTTATTTAGCAAATACAGTCCTTATTGAGCTGTTTGTGTGCCAGACACTATGCTAGGCATGGAGCACACTATAGTGAATAAAAAGATATTGTGCCTGTCGTGGTGGAGCCTAATATGAAAAAAATAATTTTAATAATATTACAAAATTAGTATAATGAAAGATAAAAAAAATCCTGAGAGAGATTATAAGGGATCTACTTTAAATTGAATGATTAGGGGAAGCCTACCTGAAAAGATAAGGTTGTAACTGAAATATTAAGGACAAGAGTGGGGAGTGAAAGCATTAGAGACAGTGATGATCTGAGATAGTCCTAAACTATATCAGGTTAGCCTCATACAGTTGCTCAGGGTATGCAGTAGCACTAGTTGCTGGGGTCTACTCTGAGATCTTGACATAGCGTATTCTGCAGTCCTATTATCTTGTACTGGGTCTTAACCTCTACTCTAAGTTAGAGTCTGGGTCTCTCTCCTGTATAGACTTTTTGCCTGATGCCTTTATCCACGATATCAGGCTCCCATAGACCTTTCAAAATACCGGTCTGTTACTCTACTTCTCTCTAATCCCAAGTTCATGTCTCGAGTACACCTTCCACTGAGCTTTGTTTCTAAACAGTGAGGAACTTCTAGGCTTCAGTGCATTTTCAGGGAAGAAGTTTTCAAGCCCTTCTTGCTCAGATTGACAACTCTGCTCACTCCTCCAGGCCCTTTCAGAAGGCCATCTACACTCTCAGCCAAATATCAGAAATCTCTTGGGAAAAACTTATCACCACAGAATGATAGGAGAAAAAGTATTATTTTATTAAGTAGAAGCAATACCTTAAAAAGCAAAATATTTGTTGAAGAAAATTGTATATTACCTTTTTAAAAGTTAGTTTTCATAACTCCTTTAGAGAAAGTCTCTTAATGCCACGTGTTTGTAACATACTAAGAGAGTTTAAAGGACAGCAGCCACATTTCAGAAACAATAATCTAAGGACTCAGTTTTAAATACATGCAGACATAATTATCTTCCTTTAAAATATAAAAGTCATAATAAAATTTCGAGTGTCAAAAAGAGAACTGCAGATTGATAGATAAGCTTAGAAAAAACCTAGAATGAGTACTTAGTATAATTAGAGTTGTTGGTTCAATTCGAAAATACAAAAGAATAAAAGATTTAAACAATAAATAGGCACAGTGAAGTACTTTTCTAATTCTTGCTTGTTTGTGAAAACTTTAAAGACTATTTCAAATATATAGAAAATTTGAAATTAAAACAATTAATAAAAGCATACTTATACATTTGTTCTAGAAGTAGAAGTGAATCTCATATCTGGAACTACTGGTAGATTGCTTAAAAATCCTGTTAATGATGATGTCAATAAAGCTGCCATATTTGCAATTAGAAGTGACACTTCTCAGCACAAAACCATACATTTTTACATTTCATGTTTATGAGTATTAATTGTGCTATTTCCTCATGCCCTACACCATGATGAATATATTGGTGCTGTCAAAACACAGAGTAAAACCCCAAGGACCTTATTGATTAATTAGCTTTTCCAGATAATCTGGAAATATAAATTTTGTTTCCAAAAGAGAATTAGGTTTAGTATGTTTGCTACATCTCTGAAATTAGAGAAATATGATTTATAAAATATCTGCCGTTGTATACATGTTTATTTTTTAATTCCATTCTTGAAATATTTATTTCCTACAAAATTGAGCTAACAATAGGATTTAAGTAGAATATTCGTTTTTTGTTTTTAAAAAGGTTCTATCTCAACAAGACCATAAAGTTATTTTAAGTGGGTTAACAATGGGAAAGTAACACATTAGGAATGGGACAGGCATAACACTCTGATTGGTAGAGCAGAAAGATGATATTCTTGTCAAAACTGTAATTGGAAAATTTTCTAGACATGCTAAGCTAAGTGTATTAGTCCATTTTGACACTGCTGATAAAGACATACCTGAGACTGGGAAGAAAAATAGGGTTAATGGACAGCCGAGACCACGTCCGCCCCGCAAGCACAGAGCGTCGCCCTCCCCGCTCTGCCGGGCATCCATGCCCGCAGCTAGCTCACCATGGATGATGATATCAGCACGCTCCTCATCAACAAGGGCTCTGGCATGTGCAAGGCCGGCTTCACAGGTGACAATGCCCCCGGGCCATCTTCCCCTCTGTCATGGGTGCCAGGGAGTGATGGTGGGCATGGGTCAAAAGGACTCCTATGTGGGTGATGAGGCCCAGAGCAAGAGAGGCATCCTGACCCTGAAGTACCCTGTGGAGCACGGCACCAACTGGGACGACATGGAGAAGATCTGGCACCACACCTTCTACAACAAGCTGTGTATGACTCCTGAGGAGCACCCCATGCTGTTGACCCAGGCCCCCCTGAACCCCAAGGCCAATCATAAGATGACCCAGATCACGTTCGAGACCTTCAGCAATACCCCAGCCATATACATGGCCATCCAGGCTGTGGTGCTGTCCCTGTACGCCTCTGGCCTTACCACTGGCATTGTGATGGACTCTGGTAACGGGGTCACCCACACTGCCCATCTACGAGTGGTATGCCCTCCCCCACGCCATCCTGCGTCTGGACCTGGCTGGCCTGGACCTGACTGACTACCTCATGAAGATCCTCACCGAGTGGGCGCTACAGCTTCACCACCACGGCTGAGCAGGAAATCATGCATGACATCAAGGAGAAGCTGTGCTATGTCACCCTGGACTTTGAGCAGGAGATGGCCACAGTGGCCTCCAGCTCCTCCCTGGAGAAGATCTACGAGCTGCCCGACCTCCCGATAGCCAGGTCATCACCATCAGCAATGAGAGGTTCCACAGCCCCCAGGCCCTCTTCCAGCCTTCCTTCCTGGGCATGGAATCCTGTGGCATCCTACTGTCAACTCCATCATGAAGTGTGACATGGACATCCGCAAAGACCTGCATGCCAACACAGGGCTGTCTGGCGGCACCACCATGTACCCTGGCATGGCAGGACAGGATGCAGAAGGAGATCACCACCCTGGTGCCGTTGCTCCTCTGGAGAGTTAGTACTCCGTGTGGATCAGCGACTCCATCCTGGCCTCGCTTTCCACCTTCCAGCAGATGTGGATCAGCAAGGAATACGACGAGCCTGACCCCTTCCTCATCCACCGCAAGTGTTCTAGGCGGATTGTAACTTAGTTGCATTATACCCTTTCTTGACAAAACCTAACTTGCGCAGAAAACAAGATGAGATTGGCATGGCTTTATTTGTTTTTTTGTTTTGTTTTGTTTTTGGCTTGACTCGGGATTTAAAAACTGGAATAGTGAAGGTGACAGCAGTTGGCTGGAGGAAGCATCCCCCAAAGTTCTGCAATGTGGCCGAGGACTTTGATTGTACATTGTACATTTTTAAATAGTCATCCCAAATATCATGAGATGCATTGTTACAGGAAGTCCGTTGCCCTCTTAAAAGCCACCCCACTACTCTCTAAGGAGAATGGCCCAGTCCTCTTCTGAGCCCACAAAGGGGAGGTGATAGCATTGCTTTCGTGTAAATTATGTAATGCAAAAAATTTTTAATCTTCACCTTAATACTTTTTAATTTTGTTTTATTTTGAGTGATCAGCCTTTGTGGCCCCCCTCTTTTGTCCCCCAACTTGAGATGTATGAAGGCTTTTGGTCCCCCTGGGAGTGGGTGGAGGCAGCCAGGACTTACCTATACACTGACTTGAGACCAGTTGAATAAAAGTGCACACCAAAAAAAAAAAAAAGAGAGAGAAAAAGAAAAAGAAAAATAGGTTTAATGGCAGGGGAGGCTTCACAATAAAGGCAGAAGGCAAAGGCACTTCTTACATGGTTTTGGCAAGAACTAAAGAGAGAGAGAGAGAACTGAATGCGGAAACCCCTTATAAAACCATCAGATCTCATGAGACTTATTCACTACCAAGAAAACAGTATGGGGGAAACTGCCCCCATGATTTAATTATTTCCCACCGAGTCCCTCCCACAACACATGGGAATTATGGGAGTACAATTCAAGATGAGATTTGGGTGGGGACACAGAGCCAAACCATATCACTAAGTAACTGTCTCTTGTATGCATTTAAGCTGCATTCAACTGTATGTATTTCTCCTATATGTGTTGCTCTGGAAGCCTAAGTCTTGAAACTAGAACCCTTGCCCTGAAATTGAGAAACTCATTGACTACCTCAAGTGCTGGTGCTAACCCCAAATTACACTGGAGGTGATTTCTATCTTTACAAGTTCCATCTGAGCTCTGTTACCATCTTGGGCTGCTTTCTCTTCTGCTTTTCATTTCCTTGTTTGTTTCCTTCGCCCCATACACCATTTCTTTAAATTCTCCTTAACTCCAAAGGCCTGGACAGAAAACAGAAATGCATAAGACTTGATAACTCAGTAGGAGCTCTGATTTTACCCTGATAACATCTGGACATAGAAAACAGGGAGGAAGTGAACAAGATGCAAATTGCACTCTTCTCCCCACCCAAAGCCATGAGCCCTTCTCCGGATCCCACTCACATTCCTGAAGCCAACAGACTGCGTGCTCAAGAGGTTTAGGCCTTGAGAACTTCACAGGGGAAAGCCAAGGAAAATGACACTGCTGAAGCTGATACAGCACATCTGCTTGCCTCATGGCATTAGTCATTGGATTTCTGAAGCACTAAATAATAACTCACAAATTCAAAGCAAGTTATTCATTAAATGAACTTTGTGCAAAGATAAATAGGATAGATTAATGAAGACTCTGATGTCTAAGTTTTCAAATTAATTGCATGATTGAGACTGATTAGCAACAAATATTTAGTTAGAAAAGCAAGTCACACCCTATAGGGTGAAGAGTTCTACCCATTGTCTATTTCCAGAATGGTGAAAAGACTACACCAGTGAACTGCACCAGAGCAAAGTCCTGGCAGTAACAGAGCCTAGAATTGCCTTTATAGCTGCTGTCAAAAGAGTGGATATCCACGTTAACTATTCTGGATCCTCATTCTGGTCATAGTTTCACAGCCAGACTTGTTTATCTGCAGCACAATCATCTCTGATCCCAGAACTTACCAGCTTTCTTACTTTCCTCCATACTAACATTTATTTACCAATTATATTATCATCATACAAGTACTGTGTCACAGCTTCTAACATTGCCTAACACACAATTTGGGGAATTAGAAATAGTTACAACAGCTCTAGAGACAAGGTTTTTGACTTTATACTATTTTAGATATGTTGTAACAAGTCCTTAAAATTTGAGAGTGCCTATTCTTAGGCTGAATCAGCAAAAATGTATGCCACATAGCAACAGCATTGTAATTCTAGACCTACTATATTTGGTATGATTACAACTTACGAATTCCAGCATTATAAATTTTAAAGGGTTATATGAAATTGGTTAATTTCATCAATTAGATATTGTCTCACTACTCCCTTGTTTTTTCTTTATAGCTTTTTTTTTTTTTTTTTTTAGGAGAGAGGATAAATATTTGTGAAACCTCTGGGATACCATTCTATGCTAAGTTGCTCCAGAGCCAGATTGCCTATGTGGGAAAACAGGCTTCATCATTTATTAACTGAATAACTTTAGTTAAGTATTGAATCTTTGCATTCTTTGGATTTTCATCTATAAAACAGGAATAATAAAGGTGTTCATTTCTAAAAAATTTAATGAGTTAATACATGTAGAGAACTAAGAAGAGTACTAGGCTCATAACATACATACAACAAATGTTACACATTATTAGTATCAGTGTTTGGAAATACACGATACTATATTTCAGCTTTTAAATGGCAAAACAGTGTAAGAAGCAGGGAAATTTTAAAATGCAAACTGTGACTGCTATCTGTAAGAATAAGTTAAAGATGGGAATCAGGAATATCAGACTTTAGATAATTTTTATAGAAATTTCCAATTCAAAGCAATAGCTAAAGTACACAGTATAGAATTTAACAAATGAAGGGCATATTAATGTTGAGAAAAGAAACATTTTGCAAATCTCTAACCTTAATTTCCCTGCATTTAACACATTTTGACTTTTATATAAACTTCTTATTCAAAGGAAACTTGCTGAAATGTTTGCCCAATGCATCTTCACTTTTTAAATTATAGGATCTGGTAGTATCTCTATCATTCCTTTCGCCTTGCCTTGACCTATCACCTCTCCTTCTGAATTAAATTTCCACAGTAAAGCATATACTCTCCTTGATTAGCAAGTCTCTCACATTTTAAATTCAGGAACCTTTTATACTCTTAGAAATTATCAGCTAAGCACAGTGGCATGAGACTGTATTCTAGCAATTTGGAAGGTTGAAACAAGAAGATCACTTGAGGAGGGCAGCCAAGATGGCCGAATAGGAACAGCTCCGGTCTACAGCTCCCAGCATGAGTGACGCAGAAGACGGGTGATTTCTGCATTTCCATCTGAGGTACCAGGTTCATCTCACTAGGGACTGCCAGACAGCGGGCACAGGACAGTGGATGCAGCGCACCGTGTGCGAACCGAAGCAGGGCGAGGCATTGCCTCCCTCGGGAAGCCCAAGGGGTCAGGGAGTTCCCTTACCTAGTCAAAGAAAGGGGTGACAGACGGCACCTGGAAAATCAGGTCACTCCCACCCTAATACCGCGCTTTTCCGATGGGCTTAAAAAACAGCGCACCAGGAGGTTATATCCTGTGCCTGGCTCGGAGGGTCCCATACCCATGGAGTCTCGCTGATTGCTAGCACAGCAGTCTGAGATCAAACTGCAAGGTGGCAGCGAGGCTGGGGGAGGGGCGCCTGCCATTGCCCAGGCTTGCTTAGGTAAACAAAGCAGCCGGAAAGCTTGAACTGGGTGGAGCCCACCACAGTGCAAGGAGGCCTGCCTGCCTCTGTAGGCTCCACCTCTGGGGGCAGGGCACAGACAAACAAAAAGACAGCAGTAACCTCTGCAGACTTAAATGTCCCTGTCTGACAGCTTTGAAGAGAGTAGTGGTTCTCCCAGCACGCAGCTGGAGATCTGAGAACGGGCAGACTGACTTCTCAAGTGGGTCCCAGACCCCTGGCCCCCGAGCAGCCTAACTGGGAGGCACCCCCAGTAGTGGCAGACTGACACCGCACACAGCCGGGTACTCCTCTGAGACAAAACTTCCAGAGGAACGATCAGATAGCAGCATTCGCGGTACATGAAAATCCGCTGTTCTGCAGCCACTGCTGCTGTTACCCAGGCAAAGAGGGTCTGGAGTGGACCTCTACCAAACTCCAACAGACCTGCAGCTGAGGGTCCTGTCTGTTAGAAGGAAAACTAACAAACAGAAAGGACATCCATACCAAAAACACATCTGTACATCACCATCATCAAAGACCAAAGGTAGATAAAACCACAAAGATAGGGAAAAAACAGAGCAGAAAAACTGGAATCTCTAAAAAGCAGAGCGCCACTCCTCCTCCAAAGGAATGCAGTTCCTCACCAGCAACGGAACAAAGCTGGATGGAGAATGACTTTGACGAGCTGAGAGAAGAAGGCTTCAGACGATCAAACTACTCCGAGCTACAAGAGGAAATTCAAACCAAAGGCAAAGAAGTTAAAAACTTTGAAAAAAATTTAGACAAATGTATAACTAGAATAACCAATACAGAGAAGTCCTTAAAGGAGCTGACGGAGCTGAAAGCCAAGGCTCGAGAACTACGTGAAGAATGCAGAAGCCTTAGGAGTCGATGCAATCAACTGGAAGAAAGGGTGTCAGTGATGGAAGATGAAATGAATGAAATGAAGCGAGAAGGGAAGTTTAGAGAAAAAAGAATAAAAAGAAACAAACAAAGCCTCCAAGAAATATGGGACTATGTGAAAAGACCAAATCTACGTCTGATTGGTGTACCTGAAAGTGACGGGGAGAATGGAACCAAGTTGGAAAACACTCTGCAGGATAATATCCACAAGAACTTCCCCAATCTAGCAAGGCAGGCCAACATTCAAATTCAGGAAATACAGAGAACTCCACAAAGATACTCCTCAAGAAGAGCAACTCCAAGACACATAATTGTCAGATTCTCCAAAGTTGAAATGAAGGAAAAAATGTTAAGGGCAGCCAGAGAGAAAGGTCAGGTTACCCTCAAAGGGAAGCCCATCAGACTAACAGCGGATCTCTCGACAGAAACTCTACAAGCCAGAAGAGAGTGGGGGCCAATATTCAACATTCTTAAAGAAAAGAATTTTCAACCCAGAATTTCATATCCAGCCAAACTAAGCTTCATAAATGAAGGAGAAATAAAATCCTTTACAGACAAGCAAATGCTGAGAGATTTTGTCACCACCAGGCCTGCCCTAAAAGAGCTCCTGAAGGAAGCGCTAAACATGGAAAGGAACAACCGGTACCAGCCACTGAAAAACCATGCCAAACTGTAAAGACCATCGAGGCTAGGAAGAAACTGCATCAACTAACGAGCAAAATCACCAGCTAACATCATAATGACAGGATCAAATTCACACATAACAATATTAACTTTAACTGTAATGGACTAAATGCTCCAATTAAAAGACACAGACTGGCAAATTGGATAAACAGTCAAGATCCGTCAGTGTGTTGTATTCAGGAAACCCATCTCACGTGCAGAGACACACATAGGCTCAAAATAAAAGGATGGAGGAAGATCTACCAAGCAAATAGAAAACAAAAAAAGGCAGGGGTTGCAATCCTAGTCTCTGATAAAACAGACTTTAAACCAACAAAGATCAAAAGAGACAAAGAAGGCCATTACATAATGGTAAAGGGATCAATTCAACAAGAAGAGCTAACTATCCTAAATATATATGCACCCAATACAGGAGCACCCAGATTCATAAAGCAAGTCCTGAATGACCTACAAAGAGACTTAGACTCCCACACAATAATAATGGGAGCCTTTAACACCCCACTGTCAACATTAGACAGATCAACGAGACAGAAAGTTAAAAAGGATACCCAGGAATTGAACTCAGCTCTGCACCAAGCAAACCTAATAGACATCTACAGAACTCTCCACCCCAAATCAACAGAATATATATTTTTTTCAGCACCACACCACACCTATTCCAAAATTGACCACATACTTGGAAGTAAAGCTCTCCTCAGCAAATGTAAAAGAACAGAAATTATAACAAACTGTCTCTCAGACCACAGTGCAATCAAACTAGAATTCAGGATTAAGAAACTCACTCAAAACCACTCAACTACATGGAAACTGAACAATCTGCTCCTGAATGACTACGGGGTACCTGATGAAATGAAGGCAGAAATAAAGATGGTCTTTGAAACCAACGAGAACAAAGACACAACATACCAGAATCTATGGGACACATTCAAAGCAGTGTGTAGAGGGAAATTTACAGCACTAAATGCCCACAAGAGAAAGCAGGAAAAATCCAAAATTGGCACCCTAACATCACAATTAAAAGAACTAGAAAAGCAAGAGCAAACACATTCAAAAGCTAGCAGAAGGCAAGAAATAACTAAAATCAGAGCAGAACTGAAGGAAACAGAGACACAAAAAACCCTTCAAAAAATTAATGAATCCAGGAGCTGCTTTTTGAAAGGATCAACAAAATGGATAGACTGCTAGCAAGACTAATAAAGAAGAAAAGAGAGAAAAATCAAATAGACGCAATAAAAAATGATAAAGGGGATATCACCACCGATCCCACAGAAATACAAACTACCATCAGAGAATACTACAAACACCTCTACGCAAATAAACTAGAAAATCTAGAAGAAATGGATAAATTTCTCGACACATACACCCTCCCAAGACTAAACCAAGAAGAAGTTGAATCTCTGAATAGACCAATAACAGGCTCTGAAATTGTGGCAATAATCAACAGCTTACCAACCAAAAAGAGTCCAGGACCAGATGGATTCACAGCCGAATTCTACCAGAGGTACAAGGAGGAACTGGTACCATTCCTTCTGAAACTATCCCAATCAATAGAAAAAGAGGGAATCCTCCCTAACTCATTTTATGAGGCCAGCATCATCCTGATACCAAAGCCGGGCAGAGATACAACCAAAAAAGAGAGTTTTAGACCAATATCCTTGATGAACATTGATGCAAAAATCCTCAATAAAATACTGGCAAAACGAATCCAGCAGCACATCAAAAAGCTTATCCACCATGATCAAGTGGGTTTCATCCCTGGGATGCAAGGCTGGTTCAACATATGCAAATCAATAAATGTAATCCAGCATATAAACAGAACCAAAGACAAAAACCACATGATTATCTCAATAGATGCAGGAAAGGCCTTTGACAAAATTCAACAACCCTTCATGCTAAAAACTCTCAATAAATTAGGTATTGATGGGACGTATCTCAAAATAATAAGAGCTATCTATGACAAACCCACAGCCAATATCATACTGAATGGGCAAAAACTGGAAGCATTCCCTTGGAAAACTGACACAAGACAGGGATGCCCTCTCTCACCACTCCTATTCAACATAGTGTTGGAAGTTCTGGCCAGGGCAATTAGGCAGGAGAAGGAAATAAAGGGTATTCAATTAGGAAAAGAGGAAGTCAAATTGTCCCTGTTGGCAGATGACATGATTGTACATCTAGAAAACCCCATTGTCTCAGCCCAAATCTCCTTAAGCTGATAAGCAACTTCAGCAAAGTCTCAGGATACAAAATCAATGTACAAAAATCACAAGTATTCTTATACACCAATAACAGACAAACAGAGAGCCAAATCAGGAGTGAACTCCCATTCACAATTGCTTCAAAGAGAATAAAATACCTAGGAATCCAACTTACAAGGGACATGAAGGATCTCTTCAAGGAGAACTACAAACCACTGCTCAATGAAATAAAAGAGGATACAAAGAAATGGAAGAACATTCCATGCTCATGGGTAGGAAGAGTCAATATCATGAAAATGGCCATACTGCCCAAGGGAATTTATAGATTCAATGCCATCCCCATCAAGATACCAATGACTTTCTTCACAGAACTGGAAAAAACTACTTTAAAGTTCATATGGAACCAAAAAGCAGCCCGCATCACCAAGTCAATCCTAAGCCAAAAGAACAAAGCTGGAGGCATCACACTACCTGACTTCAAACTATACTACAAGGCTACAGTAAGCAAAACAGCATGATACTGGTAACAAAACAGAGATATAGATCAATGGAACAGAACAGAGCACCCAGAAATAACACCACATATCTACAACTATCTGATCTTTGACAAACCTGAGAAAAACAAACAATGGGGAAAGGATTCCCTATTTAATAAATGGTGCTGGGAAAACTGGCTAGCCATATGTAGAAAGCTGAAACTGGATCCCTTCCTTACACCTTATACAAAAATTAATTCAAGAAGGATTAAAGACTTACATGTTAGACCTAAAACCACAAAAACCCTAGAAGAAAACCTAGGCATTACCATTCAGAACATAGGCATGGGTAAGGACTTCATGTCTAAAACACCAAAAGCAATGGCAACAAAAGCCAAAATTGACAAATGGGATCTAATTAAATTAAAGAGCCTCTGCACAGCAAAAGAAACTACCATCAGAGTGAACAGGCAACCTACAAAATGGGAGAAAATTTTCGCAACCTACTCATCTGACAAAGGGCTAATATCCAGAATCTACGATGAACTCAAACAAATTTATAAGGGAAAAAGCAAACAACCCCATCAAAAAATGGGCAAAGGACATGAACAGACACTTCTCAAAAGAAGACATTTATGCAGCCAAAAAACACATGAAAAAATGCTCACCATCACCGGCCATCAGAGAAATGCAAATTAAAACCACAATGAGATATCATCTCACACCAGTTAGAATGGCGATCATTCAAAAGTCAGGAAACAACAGGTGCTGGAGAGGATGTGGAGAAATAGGAACACTTTTACACTGTTGGTGGGACTGTAAACTAGTTCAACCATTGTGGAAGTCAGTGTGGCGATTTCTCAGAGATCTAGAACTAGAAATACCATTTGACCCAGCCATCCCATTACTGGGTATATACCCAAAAGACTATAAATCATGCTGCTATAAGGACTCATGCACACGTATGTTTATTGCGGCACTATTCACAATAGGAAAGACTTGGAACCAACCCAAATGTCCAACAATGATAGGCTAGATTAAGAAAATGTGGCACATATACACCATGGAATACTATGCAGCCATAAAAAATGATGAGTTCATGTCCTTTGTAGGGACATGGATGAAATTGGAAATCATCATTCTCAGTAAACTATCGCAGGAACAAAAAACCAAACACCACATGTTCTCACTCATAGGTGGGAATTGAACAATGAGAACACATGGACACAGGAAGGGGAACATCACACACCGGGGACTGTTGTGGGGTAGGGTGAAGGGGGTGGGATAGCATTAGGAGATATACCTAATGCTAAATGACGAGTTAATGGGTGCAGCACACCAGCATGGCACATGTATACATATGTAACTAACCTGCACATTGTGCACATGTACCCTAAAACTTAAAGTGTAATAATAATAAAATAAAAAATTTTTTAAAATATATCAGACAAAAAAAAAAAAAGATCACTTGAGCCCAGGAGTTCAAGACTGTGGTGCCCTATAGTCATAATTCCAATTCGAAAATGGTGGCATAGAAACAAGCTGGCTTCGCTCCCTTTTACAGAAAACCAAAAACAAATATATAGCACCAAGATGATCACCAGCAATATCCTAGAACACAAATATGAGGATGAATCAGTTCCTGGAGCCAAAGAGAAGTAAAAAAAACTCCAGCAGACGGTAAGAGAGCCATATATTCATGACAATGACACCCCTCCCTGGAATCTGCCCTGCCCCAAGTATGTGGAAAATGTTGATTGACTCTCAGTTTCCACACTGGAGAAAGTGAGACTGAGGTTGACAGTCAGCTTCTCTACTTTCTTATGTTCCCTGACAGGAGACCTGTCCCTACCTCAAACTGTGGGAAGCATGGTGAGTGCCTAAAAGGAGAAACATCTCTGAGGACAGCCAAAGACAAAGTAGAGAGGCAGGACTAACATCCTGAATGCTAGAAACTGCTCTGTAATTCAGCCAAATGACATGCCAAATCGGAGTGGCTGCTTAGCAGTACCATGCTGTAGGAGGTACATTCCACGGGGCCCCTGAGCACAAATTACAGCCAGCCGTTCCACACTGCCAGGATATCCCCTTTGGGACCTCCCCTATTTCTGATGATCAGTCTCTGATAATTTGCTAGAGCAAAGGCAAACATGGGCTTAAAGTGCCATCTAGTGCTGAAAAGGAGGCACTGACCTAGCGGAAAAAAGTATAAGAAATTCAACAGGTAAATTATGAAGAATCTCTAAGTAAACATAGCCAATAAAAACCAAAACAAGCCAGGCAGAGAAAACTGGAATGAATAACTGTTAAATGCAAAGACATAGATGTACATTCACACACACACACACAAAAAAAAAACAGCGAAAAGGAAACCATGACCTCTCCAAACAGACAAAGCAAGGAACCAGTGACTGACCCTAACAAGACTGTTACATGAGCTCTCTGTCCAATAATTCAAAATAGGAGTTTGAAAGAAACTTAGTGCTCTCCAAGATAACACATAAAAGCAATTTATAAATTTATCAGATAAATTTTACAAGGAGATTGAAATAATAACAAAAGATCAAACAAAAATCTTGGAACTGAGAAACACATTTGCTGAATTCAAAAATTCATTGAAGGCTCTTTACAGCAGAATGTACCAAGCAGAGGAAAGAATCAGTGCTCCCAAAGACAGGCTGTTTAGAAGTACACAGTCACAGGAGAAATAACAAAAAAATAAAGTCAAAAGGAATAAAGACTACCTATAAGATATAGAAAATTACCTCAAAAGACAAAATCTAAGAATTACTAGTATTCAAAAGGCAGCTGAGCAAAAGAACAAGGTAGAACACTTACTCAAAAAATAATAACAGAAAAGTTTCCAAAACTTGAGAAAGAAATAAAAGTTCACGTATAGGAAGGACAGAGAACATCAAATAGGACTACGCCAAGACATATAATAATTAAACTCTCGAAGGCCAAAGACAATGAGAGGATCCTAAAAAGCAGCAGGAGAAAAAAAGCAAACAACATGTAAAGAAATGCCAATCATCTGATGACAGACTTCTCAGTGGAAACCACACAGGCCAGGAGGGAGCAGAATATTTTCAAAGTGTTGAAAAGAAAACAAAAAACAAAAAACAAAAAACAAAACCTGCCATTCAAAAACACTTTATCCAGCAAAGCTATCATTCAAATAAGGAGTCACAAAGTCTTTCCTAGGCAAACAAAAGCTAAGAGAATTCATCACCACCAGACTTACCTCACAAAAAATGGTAAAGGGAACTCTTCAATCTGAACAAAAAAAAAATACTAATGCGAAAAAAGAAAATATTTAAAGGTACAAAATCCACTGGTAAAATTAAGTACAAAATCATCCCCAGAATACTCCAATTCTGTAATTTTAGTGTGCAATCCACCCATAACTCTAGCATGAAGCCTAAAAGATAAATACATATAAAATAATATTAGCTCCAGAAACTTAAGAGATAGGCAATAAAAAATGTAAATTGAGACAACCAAAATCAAAATGTGGGATGATAGAGTCAAAATATAAAGATTGTTTTTAGTTTTTTATTTGTTTGCTTGTTTTTACTCTTTTTTGTGTTATCTAATACAAGTTGTCATCTCTTTAAAATAATTTGTTATATCTATAAGATATTTCACATAAGCTTCATGGTAACCACAATGCAAAAACCTATAATAGATACATTAAAAGTAAAAATCAACAAATTAAAACATACTACAAGTAAAAAAATCAATTAACAACAAAAGATGACAGGAAGAAAGAGAGAGAGGAGCTACAACACAACCAGAAAACAAGCAATGAAATGGCAGTAGTAAGGCCTTACTTATCAATAATAATGCTGAATGTAAATGGACTCAATTTTCCAATTAAAAATATAGAGTGACTAAATGAATAAAAAAGCAAGATCCAACTAAATTCTGCCTATAGGAAACCTCACCTATAAAATCACACCTAGATTGAAAGTGTAGGAAAAAAAAGATATTTCATGTGAATGGAAACCAAAAAGAGCAGCAGTTGCTATACTTACATGAGATAAAATAGATGACCAGAAAAGACTGTAAAAAGAGACAAAGAAGGTCTTATAAAGATAAAAGAGTCAATACAGAATGGAAGATAACAATTGTAAATATCTATGCACTCAACAGCAGAGTACCCAAGTATATAAAGCAAACATTAATATATCTAAAGGGATAGATAGACTGCAATATAATAATATACTAGTAGGAAACTTTAACACCCCTACTCTTAGTAATGAACAGATCATCTAGAAAGAAAATCCAAAAAACCATTGACATTAAACTATACTAAAATAAAAAGGCCTAACTGACATTTACAGAACAGTTGATCCAACTGCTGATGAATATACATTATTTTCATCAGCACATGGGATATTCTCCAGAATAGATGATATTTTAGGCCACAAAACAAGTTTCAACAAGTTCAAAAAGTTAGAAACAAAATCAAATATCTTTCTGACCACAGTGGAATAATACTAGAAATCAATAAAAAGAGGAAGCTCAGATAGTACACAAACACATGGATATTGACATGCTCCTAAATGACCAATATGGTCAGTGAATAAACTAAGAAGAAAATATAAAACTCTTTTGAAACAAATAAAAATGTAAGTACATTTCAAAATCTATGGGATACAGCAAAAGCGTACTAAGAGCAAAGTTTGTAGCAATAAATGCCTATATCAAAAAGAAGTTGAAAAAACTCAAGTAAACTAATGATGCACCTTGAAGGACTAGAAAAGCAAGAACAAAGCAAACATAAAATTAGTAGGAGAAAAGAAATAATAAAGATCAGGACAGAAATAAATAACATTGCAACTAAAAAAAAACAAAATCAATGAAACAAAAAGTTAGATCAAAGAAACAGAAGATGGATGAAACACATAGATTTTTGGAAAAAAAATAGGCAAAACTTTAGCTCAGCTAAGAATAAAAGAGAAGACCCAAATAAATAAAATTAGAAATTAAAAGGGGACATAACCACTGAGATTATAGAAATATAAAGAATTATTACAGACTATTATGAAAAACAGTATACCAATACGTTGAAAAACCTAGAAGAATTGAATGTATTCCTGGACACATATAAACTACCAAAACTAAACCATGAAGAAATAGAAAACCTCAACAAATCAATAAATTGAAGTCATAAGAAAATGTCACCCATCAAAGAAAATCCCAGGACTTGTTGTCTTCACTGCTGAATTCTACCAAATGTTTAAAGGATAACTAATATCAATTCTACTCAAACTCTTCAAAAAAAAAAAAAAAAGTGAGGAGGAATGAATACTTTCAGACTCATTCTGTGAGGCCAGCATTACCCTGATACCAAAACCAGACAAAGACACAACAAAAAGAAAAATACAGGCCAATATCACTGATGAACACAGATGCAAAAGTCCTCAATAAACTACTAGCTAACTGAATTCAGAAATACATTAAAAAGGTCTTTCAATATGATCAAATAGGATTCATCCCAGGGATGCAAGGATGTTTCAACATAGGCAAATCAATAAATATGACACATTGCATTAAAAGAACAAAGAACAAAAACCATATGATCATTTCTGTAGAATGCTGAGAAAGCATTTGATAAAATTTAGCTCCCTGCTTTATGATAAAAACCCTCAACAAAGGAATATACCTTAGAAGGAATATATTCTTCTGTGCAAAAGTAATTGCAGTTTTGCAATTACTTACCTTTAGTTACCTTTAATAGTAGAAACCACAATTACTTTTGCAGCAAATACCCTAAAATAATATAGATATAGCATATATAGTGTGTACATGTATGTATATATAAATACATATGTAAAATATAGTATAGAAGAAATATATCTTAAAATAATAAAGGCCATATATGTGACAAACCCACATCCAGCATCATACTGAATGGGGAAATATTGAAAGCCTTATCTCTAAGATCTCGAATAAGACAAGGATGCCTACCGACTTTCACCACTTTTATTCAACATAATACCAGAAGTTTGGGACAGAACAATTAAAAAGTGGGGAGGGGCATCCAAGTCAGAAAGAGAAGAATTCAAATTAGCCTTGCATACAGGTGGCATGATCTTACATTTGGAAAAATCTGAAGACTCCACCAAGAAATTGTTAGAACTGACCAATGAATTTAGTAAAGTTTCAGGATAAAATAATCAACAAACAAAAATCACTGACATTTATATACACCAACAGCAAATAATCCACAAAAGAAATAATGCAAGCAATCTTAATTACAATAGATACAAAAATATATAATACCCAGGAATCAATTTAACTGGAGATGAAAGATTTATTTTTATAAATAAGTTTTTCCTCTTGGAAAACTATAGAATACTGATAAAAGAAATTGAAAAAAACACAAAAAAATGGAAAGATATGCCCAGCTTATGAAATGGAAGAACTAATATTGCTAAAACAACAATTCTACCCAAAACAATTGCAGATTCTATGTAATCCCTATCAAAATACAAATAACACTCTTCACAGAAATAGATAAACTAAAATTTATATGAAACTACAAAAGACCCCATGTAGCCGCAGTAATCCTAAGCAAAAAGAACAAAAGAACATCACACTACCTGACTTTATTTTATAAAATACACTACTAAGCTATGGTAACCAAATTAGCATGCTACTGGCACAAAATCAGAAACGTGGACTGGCATAAAATCAGAAACAATGGAACAGAATAGAGGGCCCAAATATAATTCCATGCATTTACAGCTAACTCATTTTTTATGAAGACATCACAAACATACATCAAGGAAAAGACAGTAGCTTTAATAAATTGTGTTGGGAAATCTGTATATCCATACTCAGAAGAATGAAACTAGACCCCTATCTCTCACCACATACAAAAAAATCAAATCAAAATGGATTAAAGACTGAAATCTAAGATCTGAAACTATGAAACTACTAGATGAAAACAATGCTAGTGGACATTGGTCTGGGTGAATTATTTTGTGTAAGACCTCAAAAGCACAGGCAACCAAAGCAAAAATAGACAAATGGGATTACATCAAGCTAAAAGCTTCTGCATAGCAGAAGGAAACAATAAACAAAGTGAAGAGAGAACGCACACAATGTGAAATAAAATTTGCAAAGTATCCATCTGAAAATTGATTAATAACTAGAATATATCAGGAACTCAACTCAATAACAAAAAAAGTAATTATTTAATTTTAAAATGGGCAAAAAATCTGAATAGATGTTGCTCAAAAGAAGACAAATGGCTAACAAGTATATGAAAAAATGCCCCAAATCACCAATCATCAAAGAAATGCAAATTGAAACCACAATGAGATACCATCTCACCCCATTCAGAATAACTTTGATCGAAAAGAAAGGAAATAACAGAAGCTAGTCAGGATATGGAGAAAGGAGAATCTTCATATGCTGTTGGAGGGGATGTAAATTAATACAGTCACTGTGGAGAACAGTATGGAGATTCTTCAAAAAACTATAAACAGAACTGCCATATGATCCAGCTATTCCGATCCTGGGTTTATATCCAAAAGAAAATAAATCAAAAAATTGCAGAGATATCTGCACTCCCATATTTATTGCAGCACTGTTCATAATATCCAAGATATGGAATCTACCTAACTGTTCATCAACAACAGGCAAATGGATAAAGAAAATGTGGTACATGCACAGTGAAATACTATTTTAGCCATAAGAAAGAATTAAATTCTGAGCTTATTTTGTTAAGTGATAATAAGCCAAGCACAGAAAGACAAATATTGAATGTTCTCACTCATATGTAGGGGAAGGATACAAAGGAGGAAAGGATGTAGAAAGATTGATTTCAAAAGTTTTTCGAAAAGAAATGACAAGGGTCTCTGAAGAACTTTTATGGATATGGATTATATCTGCCAATATTTACTATAATTTATATTGATTAAATTGAAAAATTAAACAATATTTACTTACTCATTTTAAAATAACCATAATAAACCATTACCTGTTCACTATTAATGACATATTTTATTTAAAACCAAAAATTTAGGGAGAAAGTAGTATTTTCCATTTTTACCAATCTCTTAAATGTTTAGCTAATAGAAAGAAGACAATGAGCTTCTCATATTTGCTTATACCTTTAATCTTCTACAACATCTCTGGTTATGTAGCCTCTGGAAAAACTCCACAATAATACACTTGTTATAAGTATGAAGGGCATTGATATTTCAGCATTATTATGAAAATAATTTTGAACTTTCAGATCTCTCAGAAGTATTCTCAAGAGATCCCAGAAAACCATGTGAATAACCACTATCCTTGAGTGTTCATGTGTTATCTAGCAAATATGTATCCCACAGTATTGTGCACTATGAGGTACAGGAGAAAAACGAGATAATAAAACCTCTTTAAAAAAATTTATATTCTCACTAAAGAGATTCAAAATATACATATTCAAAATTTCATGACATTTTAAGGCAGTTCCTTTTTTTTCTTTCCTTTCCTATACTATGTTAAGAAGCGTATATGCATTAGCTTCTTAGGTGAGGTTATATAGATCATAAAATTAGGGGGAAAGCCAAAATAGTTCAAAAAAGGAAAAAAACCACTGTAGCCTGAGAATATTTCAAGAGTGGAGAAGTGACTCAAATTGAACCCAAAATAATCAGTAAGACATAAATGGAAATTAAGTATTTGAGAAGGAGATTTCAAACAGCATGACATAGCAGGTGCACTCATGGTTCTTTCAGAAGTTGCAGAGGAAACACATGTAAAGGCAAAATGAAAGATAGAATTAGACTGGGACTTAATTGTGGAAATATCTGAATTATAAATTGAGGATGTCAGAGTCCTTATGTAAGTAATGGGAATCACAAATGCTTTGGACATTGGAGTAAAGTGAAAAGTGTAGTCTAGATAAAAAAGAAAGAGGATTGGAAAGTGGGAGAAGAAGTTGGGAAAGGATGAAATCATATAGGCATTGCGCAGCCAATCAAAAACATTTTAAGGAATTTTAGATTTTGTGGACTAGAGCTAGATGATATATTCCACTGCCACTAACCACTTTAACAGCATCAGTAGCCAGGCCCCCTCACCACACAAAATTGAGAAAGATTGGATAGCATATATCACAAACACCCACATAAATTCTGAACAGCAACAATTTGAAAAATCTGTAAACCATCACATAATTCAGTCCTCTGGGTTTCACCACTGTCCAAATATCCTATAATTAATAGCTTTAATCCTTGCCATGAAACACCTACCTCTGAGAGGGACCAACCATTCACTTGGGGGCTTGCAATGTGACAAGTTACCATTGGCACTTTCTGCTAGCTTCTAGGGCATGCTATCATCTAGATTTATCTGACCATTATAGTTTCCATTCTAGCCAATACTTTTTAAACCAGGGAATAAGTAGGAAATGGGAAATTAATATCAGCAGTCATCATTTTGTTCTACGTTATGATCTTTTTGTGGTCAAAATTATTATTGCTATTATTATTATTACTATTATTTATAGCGTGCTTACCATGGGTCAGCTATTTTCCTAAGCAAAGGGAACATTTTAATCACTTGTAAAATGGTTTTTCAGAGGTGCTACTTAGTGAGTTGTTTTTCTGTCTTACTAGCTGGAACTGGATATATGCCATTCTGTTTGTTTGTTTGCTTGTTTGTTTGTTTTGAGATGGAGTTTCGCTTTTGCTGCCCAGGCTGGAGTGTAATGACACAATCTCGGCTCACTGCAACCTCTGCTTCCCAGGTTCAAACGACTCTCCTGCCTCAGCCTCCCGAGGAGCTGGGATTACAGGCATGCACCACCACGCCCAGCTAATTTTTTGTATTTTTAGTAGAGACGGGGTTTCTCCATGTTGGTCAGGCTGGTCTCAAACTCCCGACCTCAGGTGATCCACCCACCTCGGCCTCCCAAATTGCTGGGATTACAGGTGTGAGCCACTGCACCCGGCCAGGATATATGCCATTCCTAACTGCAATCTGGAAAGATGAATCTTCTAGTTTTCCAGCATTTCTAGTAGAGGAAATCAGGGAAAAGGTGGCTGTAAATGGCCTTGGTGCTAACAGTTACAGAATCTGTCATAATACCAAAGCATGGCAGCATTATTGCTTTTGTGGGCCCTTGGTACTTTTACCTTTGTGAGTCTCTTTCTCTGTGAAAATATCAATATACATCTTTATTGTGACAAAATAATATTTTGTGTCTATCTTGATATAAAGATGAATGTATTAAAATAATTATTTCAACCTAAAAGCTTATTTTTTCTTCTGGTTTTAAAAAAGTTTAAAATTTCTTGTGGGCTCCTAAAAGTATTGTTGGCTATAACCCTATTGTGTCTAATGATTGATATTTAGCACTCTAAACTTTCCTCTTGAAACTGTTTTAGCTGTGTCCCAGAGATTCTGGTAGGTTGTATATTTGTTTTCATTATTTTTAAAGAATTTCTTCATTTCTGTCTTAATTTCATTGTTTACCTAGAAGTCATTCAGGAGCAGATTGTTTAACGTCCATGTAGTTGTATGGTTTTGAGAGACTTTCTTAGTATTAATGTCTATTTTTATTGCCCTGCAGTGCAAGAGTGTCATTGGTATGATTTTTTTTTAAATTTGTTGAGTATTGCTTTGTGGTTTACTATGTAGTTAATTTTAGAGTATGTGCCATATGTAAACGAGAAGAATGTATATTCTGTTGTTGTTGGGTGGAGTGTTCTGTAGATGTCTGTTAAGTCCATTTCATCAAATGTCAAGTTTAGGTCCCAAATATCTTTGTTAGTGTTCTGCCTCAATGATTCTTAGTATGATTAATACTTGGTATTTGTATTAATACTGTCTTGGTATTCGTGTTAATACTGTTTTAGTATTAATATTGTCAGTGGGCTGTTGAAGTCTCCCACTATTATTGTGTGGTTATCTAAATCTCTTTGCAGGTCTCTAAGACTCCCTCTTTGTCTTTTATTATCACTGTTGTTTTCAAAAGGTTTAAAGTCTCTTTTGCCTGAAATTAAAAGAGCAACCCCTGCTTTTTTGTTTACCATTTGCTTGGTAGATTTTTTTCCATCCCTTTACTTTGAGCCTATGAGCATCATTGCATGTGAAATGGATCTCTTGAAGACAACATACAGTTGGGTGTTTCTTCTTTATACAACTTTCCACTCCGCTCCACTCCTTGCCTTTTAAGTGGAGTGTTAAGCTTATTTACATTCAAGGTTAATATGGATATGTTCAAATTTTATCCTGTCATCACATTGTTAGCTAGTGTTTATGCAGACTTGATTAGGTAGTTGCTTTAGTGTCAATGGTCTATATACATAAGAGTGTTTTGTGGTGGCCAGTAATGGTCTTTTGTTTCCATGTTTAGCATTCCCTTAAGGACCTCTTGTTAGGCAGGTCTGGTAGTGACAAATTCCCTTAGCATTTGCTTGTCTGAAAAGGATTTTATTTCTCCTTCACTTATTAAGCTTAGTTTGGCTGGATATGAAATTCTTGGTTGGAATTTATTTTCTTTAAGAATGCTGAATATGGGCCCCCATTCCCTTCTGGCTTGTAAAGTTTCTGCTGAAAGGTCCACTGTTAGTCTGATGAGGTTCCCTTTGTAGGTGGCCTGCCCCTTCCCTCTAGCTGCCTTTAATGTTTATTCTTTTATGTTGACCTTGGAGAATCTGATAATTATGTGTATTGGGAATGGTCATCTTGTAAGTATCATGCTGGGGTTCTCTGAATTCCCTCAATTTGAATGTTGACCTCTCCAGTGAGATTGGGGAAGTTTCCAAGGACAACATCCTCAAATATATTTTCAAAGTTGCTTGTTTTCTTTCCCTCTCTTTCAGGGATGACAATAAGTTACAAGTTTAATCAGTCTCTCTACATAATCTCATATTTCTTGGAGATTTTGTTCATTCTTACTTTTCTTTCTTCATTTTTGTCTGACTGAGTTGATTCAAAGAACCCATCTTCAAGCTCTGAGATGCTTTCCTCAGCTTGGCCTGTTCTGCTGTTAATACTTCCAGAGTCGTATTATGAAATTCTTGTAGTGAGTTTTTCAGCTATATCAGTTTAGTTAGGTTCTTTCCTAAAATGGCTATTTCATCTTTCACCTCTTGTATCATTTTACTGGATTCCTCAAATCCCTTGGATTGGGTTTCAACTTTCTCCTGAATCTCGATGATTTTCGTTGCCATCCAAATTCTGAATTCTAAATATATCATTTCAACCATTTCAGCCTGGTTAATAACCATTACTGGGGTGCTAGTGCAGTTGTTTAGAGGAAAGAAGACACTGGCTTTTTGAGTTGCCAGATTTCTTGCCCTGGTTCTTTCTCATCTGTGTAAACTGATATTTCTTTAATCTTTGAAGTTGTTGTCCTCTGGAAGGGGATCTTTGCTTTTATATTATTTTATGCCATTGGGGTTTGATTTTAGTTTCAGTCTACTGGCTTCATTTCTGGATGATATTGGGGGGCCCAGACTCAGCTCAGTACTCCCGGGCTGCATGCTGTAACTCCTGGGCTGCATGCTAGGGGGCTGGGTCCAGGCCCACAGCTTTGTTCTCTTGTCCCTCAAGGTTAAGCAGCTGCTGCAGTGGAGAGACTGAGATATTCCTGATCAATTGGCAACAACACTCTAGTAGGGAATGCCAGCAAAGCACTTCACTGGGCCTTGGCAGCAGGGGGTCAATGCTTATGTGCATGTGCCAGCAGCAGCCAGGCAGTGGCATGGCAGGATCTGTGCACACACTTACACCACTGGCAGCAGGGCAGTAGGGTTTGTGCACATGTACATTCCACTGACAGTGAGGCAGCAAAGTCCAGGCATGTGCATGCCAGCAAAGTGGTAGGGGGAGGCCACAGGTGAGTTCATGTGAGCAAAGTGGTGATGGAGGCTGTGAGTGGGTGTGCGGTGATGAGGTCTGTCTGCTGGAGCTCTCTGATGGTAAATTGGGGTCTGCCAGTGACAGAACAATGACGGCAGCTGCTGGGATGTGGCCTGGTTGGGCATCCAAGGCCACGCAGCCAGAAAGGGACCCTGGAAGGGGCCGGCAGACAGCAGGGCACTCAGATCAGACTGGCCCCATCCCAAGGCAAGACAGCCCTGCTCTGTCCAGGTCTACTGGATAAGAAAGGCCAAAACCACCTGGAGGAGCATGGCAGGCCTTGGTAGATGGGCATACATAGCTGTGCTACATTGCAGCCATTCCCACATCAAACTCTCTGGGCTCCACACAGGCTAGAGTCCAGTTCCTGCCACTTCTCCAAGCAGTTTTTCCTGCGAGCCCAAATGTCCATGGGGGTCGTGGGGTCTCCTGCAGTGAGGATTTCAGAAGTCTGCGGTAAGAGTGGGCCATTCCTCCCCTATTCAACTCAGTCTTTCCCTAAGAGGCACTGGGGGCTGGGAATGAGTCCTTGTACTCAGCAGCCCCATATAGGATCCCCAGTTTCCTCCCTCTTTGGCCCAGGGTCTGCATCCTCTCTCTGTCAGCTCTCAAGGACTTAGTTATGAAGACCTGCTCAACGTGTGCCAATCTTCTTGATGGTCCAGTCTCTTGGTCAGTATTTTAATATAAATTGATAAAACTCCATTTCCTGGAATTCTCCTTATGGATCTTCTGGCACCTGCAGGTCACCAAGCAACAGAGCTATGGCAGAGCCACCTGTCCTCACCAAGCAGAGGGGATGGAGCAGTGGAGATCCACCAGAACCCTGTGGGCGGAAATAATCCACATATATTTCTTATGTTCTCTTCGGTGATAACCAAACTGAGCATCAGGAAGCCTGATTGCCTTGACCAAAGTAACACACCTTCATTGTTCTCTCGGCCATGAGAGAAGCTTGAGCTGAGTGGAGGGCAAATCCCAAGAGTTCCAGCACCTGGCTGTGTAGTCTGGGTTGGGGCTGGAGAGCACCATCTTGGATGCAGCAAGATCTAGGGAAGTGCCTGACATGGTAGCAGCCACATGTCATGGGCTGGGTTGGAGACTGGCCTTCTCAGAGTAAAGACAATGCACTGTCCTGCACACCACACTAGCAGCTAGTCATTTTGGAATAGAAAAATAATATAAGGTCTTTATTTTTTTTATAAAAGGGCTCAAATTATTTTTGTCTCCAATGTCTTTTGAGAAACAGTCAAGGTCTTCTGTGAAAGAGAATATAAAGTCTTTATATTGTTTATAAAAGGGCTCAAATTATTTTTGTCTCCAAAGTCTTTTGAGAAACAGTCAAGGTCTTCTATGACTTCAAATTCACTTCTTGCCACCAGGCCAAGCCTATGATGCAATCTAGATGTACTAAGGAGTTTAAAGTTTCCAAATATACCGTGTTAACTGGTTCATGTTTCTATAACTCTGTGCAGATTAATTTCAATTTTCCCTTTTTGTGTATTATAAAGTGTATTACAAAAATTATTTATCATTAGTATATCATGATATCAGAGAATATCTGGAGCTTTAGGGAAGAGAAGAAATTCAACTTTAGGGAAGAGAAGAGAATTTCAACTTGCAATAAACACAGTGACAGAGAGAGGCACCGGAATGCATGTTCCACGAAGAGACAGAAATTTTTTCTATCATTCATCAGTGTACCCAGGACCTTGCCAGATAAACAGTGGAGACTACATGCATCTGCTGAAATCTGCATGCAAAGTCCTATAAGGTATTCAAAGAGGTATACAAATTGTGGCTTCCTAGAACACTTATTGTTCTATGTGACCCTTGATTCAACCTTTAATATAAATGTTAAATCTCAGAAAGTCAAAATGAGCTTCAAGAAGATATTTGTGAATAATTTGTACTAGTCACATTAACCAAACAAAAGTTTATATTTACAATGCATAAATGCTTAGTACTCAAGTAACGAAATAATCTGTATGCCAAACCCCCAAGCCACAAGTTTACCCATATAACAAACCTGCACATGTATCCCTGAACCCAAAATAAAAGTTAAAATATTTTTTAAATGCCTAAATTGTGTATAGTAAATTTTGAAAAGATTTTAGAATAAATAATAAAGAAAATATGTTCAATAAATAATCCATGTAAAAGCAACTAAAATAAAAACTTCTCTATAAGCTAAGCATATGCCAAATTGAGAACAGACTTGTGGTAGTAGAAAGTGTAATATGAATACCAAATGGATTGTGTACATCGCATTATTTCATCACAAGATAATTCAGGCAAAATTGTTGGTTGCAATTCTAGTCCCACAATCTATGGATGATTCAGTGTCCTCTAATCAGGACTCAAACCCAGTTCATCTAATACTGAATAATGATATCTTTATAGAAATTTAAACCTAATTCCTAATCCCAAATGACTAAAATATTGTGTATTATTTCTTATTCTCAAAAAGTCTGTGGCTATAAAAGAAGTTTAGCGTCATGTACAGACATGGCTATAGCATGGGCCAATAGACACATGTAAGGTGCTCATATGCAGGGGCGATTTGTACTTCTTTGTGCCACTGGTGCTTAGCAGTGTTTGGAATATACATATGTTCAATAAATGAACAAAGAATAAATGAAGCATGGATGAATTAAGTAACCCCTAGGCAATGACTGTTAACGGTTGCTGAAACAATTGGATCAAAAGCCGTTGAGAGGCTCTACAATATATGAATCGGGCTGAAAACACCTGATCCTACTTATCAATCTTAATATCACAAGCTAGAGACAATGAGACAGTATGGGCCTCCTGATGTGATGCAAAGGAAAGCACATAACATGAAATAGTGTGCTGAAAAGTTAACCTGAATCTGCTCACCCCCTATGCCTTTCTATCAGTTTACAAGATACGCAAGGACAGAGAAATGTTACCTGCCACTTAGAATGCTATCAGCAAAATCCAAAATGTGGGAATAGCTATGATATGAACAAGCAAGTTTCTTCAACAAATAACTTATAAGGAAAATAAAAGGGAAAGATAACCTATGGATCAGACTGTGAGATGTGGAGGGGGAAATACTGTCAAAAGAACAGAAAATTAGGGAAAATTAAATATTGAATATGGATAACACTAAAGAATTACTGTTATTTTTCAGCCTGATACTATTTTGCTTAAGTTAAAAATAAATTAAACAGAATCACTTTTCTTTTAGAGTCTCGTACTGAAGTATTTGCAAATAAAATGATATGTAGTCTTGAATTTCCTTAAAAATAATATAATGGGACAGAAGTGAGTGCAGGCAAGTTCAGCTATGTGTTACTAATTATTAAAGCTGCTTGACTGATACATAGAGATGCTTTTTACTTGTTTTTCTACTGTAAATGTGTGCTAATTTTTAAAAATATAATTCAGTAATAGTAAAGCTCCATACACACTATCTAGCACAAAGTAAGCACTTAATGAATGTTAGCTAATATAATTTTTTTTAAAAAGTGCTGTGTGGATAGTGCTTACATGCATCTGTTTACTTTGTGCAAGTGTATGTATAATGTAATTCTGTTATGGTAATGACAGAATAGCTTATTTCAGACTAACTCTCCCACTGATAATTAATATAAACTCTGGGCAAAATATTTTCTAAAAAAAAAGTTTGAATGCACTGAAATAAAACAAAAGAAGGCATATACAAAAGAGGATATGCTATGTGAAAGAAGGGAAGCAAACTAGATGACTGCCACCTTTAATCACTGTTCCCCGGAGGGCCTGTCCTAATTTGCTAAGGAGTCTAGTGAAATACATCTCAGATGCAAAGAGGTAGCCTTAGTGGGCTACTAAAAAATACATTGGGTTGTCAGAAAAATCCTAGAAAGGAGAAATTCACAGAAAAGGAAGAACAAAATCAGCATTAAAATTTTATTCAAATTGTTGGTTGACTAGTAAACTGTTCATGTATAAGAATATGACCCATGACTTAGAAGAAAGCAGCAGCTGAAAGGCAGGAATTTTACCAGCCACCTAGTTCAGGGGATGCATAGTTTGGCTTTTAAGTCTTATCAAGTTAGAGGAGCCTGATGAAGACATCAGGCTTTCCAACAAAACCCAAGAAGGACCACACCTTAGAAACAAGGCCAGTACTAAGGACTATGCTCTCTAGGACTAAGGACAGAACAAAAAGCAGCCCACACTACACCAGCCTAAAACCATCTATCCACAGGTCAAGATGTTTAGTCAATAATTTAACAGCCCAAAAGAACAAAACGCAACAACTTTAGAGGAAGAAACAAAATGCAGAGTTTCTACAACATGTCAATCATCGTGTCCCATATACAGTCAAATAATACAGGACAAAGAAGCAGGAAAATCTGACCCATAATCAAGAGAAAAGGAATACCAACAGAAGCTACCCCATAAGTGGCCCAGCTGTTTTTATTAGCAGATAAGAACTTTAAAACAGCTGTTACAAATACATTATGGGTTTATAGAAAAAAAAATGACAACGGGGGATCTTGGCAGAGTAATGGAAAGTTTAAAAAAATTTAAAGTTTATTTTAAAAAGAAGGAATTGTTTAGCTACAAATTCATCAACCAGTAAATAAATAAAGAGCACAATGCATCTGGGTACGTCCTGCGTGGCAGCACATTCAGTCATAGGGTGGGAGAGAGGCTGTGCTGCTACCCTTCAGCCAGAGCAGTGTCTATTCCCTCCTTTCTTCCTGCCTTGCAGGCCTAGCCTTGGGACAGATCCAAGTAGATAATAGCTCATGGGCTCCATACCAGGCAGGTGGCTTCCATGCTTCCATAAGTGACTGAAATTAAATATTAACTACAGCCTGTCAAATTATAACAATAGACCCTTGTATTTTGTATTTTTATGAAACTTTATATTTAGTAAAGGCTTCCACATATCTTTCCAATGTTCCTGGCAATAACTAGAAGCTAGTGTGATATGAATGCCATGGTCTCTTCATAAAATAACTGTCTCTCAGATAAGGTTTCAAAAGATGCCGTTGCCTTCAGTATCTTAAAAAGGATTGCTATACAATTAATTGGTAAAAAGCTCAAGCCTCATTAGAAAGAATGGCATCAACTCTGAGCTAGGGGACCCTGAGCATATGGGGGTACCAGGTGATGTATTTACTTTGCAATTATCCAAGAGTGCTTGACTGAAAGGTAATTGACAATCCCCTAGATACTAGATGTTGATTCAGTTCACAGCTTCATCTTGAGAATCTGGTCTATACCCAGCTCTGATCTCAGAAATCACCACAAAAATACATCATTGTAAACTGATCTACAAATCCCCACATATCTGAATCTGAATTCTATCATCTTCCAGAATTTCTAAGACTGTCTTAAAATACATTTAAAAATCACTAAATGCTTTTTACTAAAGTATTCTTCAAAGTTTCTTTTGCAAAAAAATACACAGTTCAAAAGATAGCATCTCTGGTGAGGCCTTGCCTTGCCACTATGAGATGGGAGGATATTCGGGGTAAAGTATCTAATAACAGTGATAGCAGGTGAGGAGATCTGAAAGGCAGAATGTCACATAAGCTGATCAGGTCATTTTGACTGAATGCAGAGGCAATCAAAGTTAAAAGTCCTCCTTCAAATGCCACTTAAGTTAATCACTGAACAATTCATTTAAGTCCCCTTTTGACACATCAGGCTACTGAAAAGCTTTTATTTGAGTCTGTATTGAAATTTTCAACTCAGGCCAGGTGTAACTGCACATGCCTTTAATCCCAAAGGTTTGGGAGGCCGAAGTGGGAGGGCTGCTTGAGTCCAGAAGTTCAAGACCAGCCTGGGCAACATAGCCAGACCCTCTCTGAATAAATTTTTTTTAATTAGCTTGGTGTAGTGGTGCCTGCCTGTAGTTGTAGCTACTCAGGAGGCTGAGGCAGGAGGATCGCTTCAGCCCAGAAGTTCAAGCCTGCCCTGAGCTATCAATGCACCACTGTAGTCTAGCCTGGGTGACAGAATGAGACTCCATCTCTAAAATAAAAATTTGTAAAATCAGTTGCTATGGTGCAAAAAATGTATATTATGATTTTCAGAAAAAAACACAAATAAACATTTTTCAAAACTCTTTCAAGGGAAAGAGTTCTATTTCTAGGATGTTTATAAAATGTCATATATGAATATCCTAGTGGGTACACTGTAGATTGTTTGGGTGATGGATACCCTAAAAGCCCTGACTTCACCACTACACAATCTAACCATGTAACAAAATTACACTAGTACCCAAGACATTTACACAAATAAAATTGTTTTTTAAAAATCACTTAAAGATATTTTCTTCAACTTGTTACTTGAAAAGATATTTTAAAAAGTAATTAACCCTTTCTTCATAGACTATATACCAACTTAAAAATCCAATTTCAGTATTCAAGCTCATAGAGAGTAAACCTTACACCCTAGGGCAAGTGATGAAATCTGGGGAAAACCTACTGAAATTTTATATAGCCTCACAATATATTTACTGACTTAAAATGAAGCCTAGTTATCAAGAATTTGACATCTTTTCAAAAACATTTATTGATTAAAAACTTAAGAATGCAAAGTTCTGCTTAATGCTGGCCTTGATGTTTAGAAACATATCATTGCTATGTTTACACAATGTCAAATACATTATTTATTTTATTTCTAAAACTAAATCAGGGGATGACATTCATTGATCCACCTGACTTTTATCCAGGATAAGATTCCATTCCTCTACCCTAATCAGTATGCACCTTACTAGGGAACTCTAAATTGAGTTACTTCCTAAAATAAAGAAAGGTCCAGGAAATCATTTGCCGTAAGTTTCCAGGAAGGTTATTGACCCTTTAGGATGAGACTTCTGGTTGCCATAAATTCAGTGTGCACTTAGGTCTAGGAGTTGCAAGTAGTCTCTCAAGGTATTAAAAAAAAAAAGAGGTGGGGAGCATCTTTCCCAGTCAGAACTACTGGTGTAAGAAATTCACTAGGTCCACTGCCTAAGAGTTTGCAGGGCCAGCTATTCTGTTTGGCCTGCAAACTTTCAGACGAGCCTACAAGCAAGTTGACAGTATTTTAAAATACATGGACAAAATAATTATCAGGTAATGTCAGGATAGCAACAATTATATGAATCAGTTTCAAAATGAATAATGAAAAAGCACTGTGTTCCAAAACAAAGAAGTGATTTACAATATATAAGAAGAGTAAATTAGTTTTTGCATGTGTGTGTGTTTTTGTTCCAAGTTTCAATGCAGAAGTCTGGCATCCCTGAGTTTTCCCTCATGCTTCAGTGTTAAGAAAAAAATGCAGGTCATGATAGTTGATCTTTTCATAGTAGGAAAGGCTCAAATAAATTACAATTAAGAAAAATAATGTGCAATAAAAACCACATTAGAATAACAAAAAAGCATTGCCTGAGAAAGATCTTGTTCTTTTGTGTGGCATTTGTAACTGGCTAGATACAGTTTATTTGTTCTTTTTGTAATGGGGCCAGATGTCACTCATTCCACATGTAGTATCCAGATTGAAATGAAATGAGGTAGAACTGACCCAGGCTGGACAAGGAAGGACTATGGAAGAGGTAAGGCAGGATCTACATAAAGTAATAATGGCAGAATTATTGATCATGTCTCTTTGGGTTTGTGTTGTTTTCAAAAAGGAAGATATAAAATTAAGTAAGGGGGGAAACGTAAGATATAGATATGGTTGATCTCATCTGCACTGAGTCATGTTTGGAAGGTTAAGTCCAGGAAGTAGTAGGAAACTGACTGAGCAGGCAACAGAAGAGAAGAAAGTACTCTGACTGAGAGGTTACTTACTTGGCCCTGGAAATAGAAAAGTATTTAAAAGTTTACATCTCCCAGAAAATTGGAAAGCAAAAGAAAGAATAATAGGTGGTAACAAAATAAAAATAATCATATCTAACATGTGGGTGGCTTTATTTACTTTTAATTTAATTCTTATTATGAATCTAAAGGGTATTAGTTGCCCACTGTAAAGATGAGGAAACTGGAGCTCAAAGCTATTAAATGATGGTCACGGTGACACAGAGGTCATAAACAAAAGGCCCAAAACCAGAACTTCTGTTTCCAAGTTCATATTCTGTGCTCCGTAGCTCAGCTGGCTCTATAGCGGGGGGAGAAATGACTCAAAACAGTTTTTCTTCTCCTCTTCAATTGAATACAATTTTATTCAACAACTATGTATTGAACACCTATGTTTTGAATGCTTTGGATGTACTTATAAAACATAGTATCTTCCTTGTTTCAAAGACCTTCAAAAATAATACTGGGAAAAGGAAAGTAAAGATAAATAAAGTCATAGATGTAGAAATAAATACTAAAATATATGTGTGGAATATATACATGTACATTAAATATTGAGATTTATTTTTATAAACTTTACAATTTGTGAAAAATCAGCAGTTATGTATTGGTTGTAGGGAAATTTCAAAACATTTCCTAAGCTTATCTGGTGATAATAATAACAACAGCAATAATAATAGTTAATATTTATTAAATGCTAACCGTGAATCAAGCATTCTTCTAAGTACATTTATCTATTAACTCATTCAATCCTCATAACTCTCTAAGATAGATAGCATTAGACCTATTTTATAAGTAAAGAGGTAAAATAGTTTAACCAAGATCATATGGCTAATAAATTGTAGTCAAGATTCAAACACAGAAAAATGGTCTCATAGATAAAGCCACTTTATATTAAGCCCTAAATATCCATGAACCTCAAAAGTTTATTAGCTTTCCTCCTCTTACTAAATTAGCCATGAAGGTAAACAACTGTACTTCCGTATTTAATGAAGATTAAATGCTTGCCAGGCCCCAACCTGCAGCTGAGAAAATCAGTCACATTAGTTTCTTTTCTGTAGGTGACTATGCTTTCTAATTTGGGATTTCACATTATAACGTATGATCTCAACTAATGGACCACAATTGGTGCCTGTGTCAATAGTAGCTGTCCACTGGCAAACCAATGGCAAGAATGTTTTGAGCACATTCTCTGATGTACTCAAGATACATGTCCAGTACTCGGTAGTAACAATGGTGCTTAAACTAGAGACATTACAAGAAAGATGTCTGTAGAGCAATAGATACTCTATCTTGGATCAACTTACCCAAGAAGTGAGAGCTATTCTTTTGCTGGAGACAACTCATGGGATGTCTACGTATTTCCGTGGCATTAAAAAATTTTAGCTGTTGAAATATCTATAATTGTGACTTCAGTGAGCTAAGTTTAGTATTTCTTAAGTGCCACAATAGTGATATTCCCTCGATACAGGGCACATCCTCAAGTATCAGGTAAATTGAGCTAATTAACATATGCATTAGCTCATAAACTTACGTTTTGTAGTGAGAACACTTAAAATCTACTGTCTTAGCTATTTTCAAGAATATAATATATTGTTATTAATATACTCAACATGTACAATAGATTTCTTGAATTTATTCATCCTATCTAACTGAAATTGTAAATACTTTGACCAACATCTGCCCAAATCCCACCTCCAACCCTCAGTCCCTAGGAACCACCACTCTATTATCTAGTTCTATGAGTTCAACTTTTAAAAATTCCACATATGAATGAGATTATGCAGCATTTGTCTTTCTCTGTCTGGGTTATTTACTTAACATAATGTCCTTTGTATATGGTATAAGGTTCATCCATATTGTCACAAGTGACATGATTTTCTTTTTTATGCCTGAATAGTATTCCATTGTGCGCGCGCGCGTGTGTGTGTGTGTATATATAAACACTTTCTTTCTCCATTTATTTGCTGGACACTTAGGTTGATTCCAGATCTTGGCTATTGTGAATAATGCTAGGAACGTCGGAATGCAAATATCTCTTCCACATACTGATTTCATTTCCTTTGGATATTTGGATATTTGCACAGTTGTGGGGTTGCTGGATCATATCATAGTTCTAGTTTTAATTTTTTAATCAAATTTTAAAAACTAATTTAAATATAATTTTTGAAATTATGTTTTCTGTAATGCCTACGCTAATTTACGTTCCCACCAACAGGATACAATGGTTTCCTGTTCTCCACATCTTTGCCAACACCTGTGATTTTTCATCTTTTTGATAATAGCCATTCTTACAGGTGTGAAGTGATATCTTGTGGTTTTCATTTGCATTTCTGTGATAATTAATGATACTGAGAGTTTTTTCATCTATGTGTTAGCCATTTGCATGTCATCTTTGAAAAAATATCTAGCCAGGTCCTTTGCCCATTTTTAAATCAGGTTATGTGTTTTCCTGCTATTGAGTTGACTTTCTTATATATTTTAAATACTAACCCCTTATCAGATGTATGATTTGCAGATAGTTTATCTCATTTAGTTGATTGTCTCTTCACTCTGTTGATTGTTGCCTTGGTTCTACAGAAACTTAATAATTTGATGCAATCTCATTTGTCTATTTTTGCTCTTGTCTATTTTGCTATTTGTCTATTTTGCTCTTGTCTATTTTGCTTGGGATCATATCCAAAAAATCATTCCCTAGATCAGTATCACAATGCTCTTTTTACTATTTTTTTAGTAATTTTATATTCACAAGTTTTACATTTAAGTCTTTAACCCATTTTGAGTTGAATTTTGTATATAGTGTGAGATAAAAGTCTGAATGTGGATATCCAGTTTTCCCAACATCACTTGTTAAAGAGACGGTTCTTTTCTCATTGTATGTTCTTGGCAACTTTGTTGAAAATCATTTGGTTGTTACCTGTGGGTTTATTTCTGGGCTCTCTATTCTGTTCCATTGGTATATATGTCTGTTTTTATGCCAGCAGCATGCTGTTTTGATTACCATATCTTTGTAGTGTATGTTAAAATAAGGTAAGGTGATGCTTTCAGCTTTGTTCTTTCTGCTCAAGGTTGCTTTGGCTATTTGGGGTCTTTTGTGGTTTCATACAAATTTTAGAATTGTCTTTCTCTTTTCATGAAAAATGTCATTGCATTGAATCTATAGACCACTTGGGGTAGTATGAATATTTTAACAATATTAATTCTTCCCATCCATGAACACAGAATATCTTTCCATTGAATTGTGTCCCCTTCAATTTCTTCAATCAGTGTTTTGGAGTTTTCAAGGTATATGTCCTTAACCTCCTTGATTAATTTTATTCCTATTTTATTTGTGACTGTTGTAATTTGTTTCTTTTTTTGCATCCTATTTCAGGTTCCTATATATGTATATGTGTCTGTGCATGCACATGTGCACACACACACACATATATGAGGCATTGTACTTCTTATTTCTAGAAGTTTAATTTCAATCTTTTTTATGTATTCCATATCTCTACTTAAATTTTTTAACTGTATGGAATATCATTATATAAAACATTTAAAATGTTCTTGTCAGCTAATTTTAACACCTGTATCAGTCCCAGGATGGTTTTAATTGATTTGTTTTTCTCCTCACTATGGATCCTATTTTTCTGCTTCTTTTTATGTCTAGTAATATTTGGTTAGACACCAGACGTTATAATTTTACCTTATCGAACTAGCCATGTTGTATTTCTATAAATATTTTGCTTTGGGACACAATTAAATAATTTGAAAATAGTTTGATCTTTATACATCTTGTTTTTAAGATTTGACAGATGAGAGCAGAACAGTTTCAGTCTAGGGCTAATTATTTCCCCAAAACAAGGCAAGACCATTTTGAGTACTCTCTTCATTGCTCATGTATTATGAGGTTTTTCCATTGTGGCTGATAGGACAAAGCAATATTCCAAGCCCTACCTCGGCATTAGGCACTGTTCCCTCTAATTCTTTCTGAATTCTCTCCTCACTCTTGGGCTGTTTCTTCACAGGCATAAGCTGGCCAGTAAATATTAACAGTTTTTAGAATATATTTTATAGCAGATTACAGAGTCTCAAATGTCCAAGATACAATCCAAACTTACTCAACATTCACAGACCAGAAAAATGTTACCACATCACAAAGAAAGGCAATCAACAGAGCCCAACTCTGAGATAACCCAGATGTTGGAATTGTTACAAAGACTTAAAGCAACTATAATTAAGCTCAATGAGAACAAGGAAAATATTCATATAATGAACTAATGGATGGAAAATAGCACAGAAATAGGCAACCTAATAAAAACAAGTGGAAATTTCAGAAATGAAAAAAATCTAACAGGTGAAAATTTAAAATTCAGTTTCATGGCAGAATAAAGATGACAAGAGAAGGAATCTGTGTACATAATAGATCAAAATAAATTATCAATTCTGATAAACAGAAAAAAATTATAAAATAAATTTTAAAAGTCTCAAGATTATGTAAGACAATATCAAAGGGGTAATTGGAGTCCCAGAAGGAGAATAGTGAGACATGAGTTTTATATATATATATATATATATATATATATATATATATACACACATACATACATACACACATATATATACATTATTTCTTTGAATCTTTGACTATATGTATATGTGTATATACATATATACACATATAAACATATATATTCAAAGAAATAATGTCTATAAATATATAAAACTCATGTCTCACTATTAAATATATATATATATAAATTTATATATTTACCTAGTTTTACCAAATTAGGTAAATATATGAATATATAAATCCGAGATGTCCAAATCCCCAAACAGCAGAAATGTTAAGAAAGCCAAGCCTAGACACATCAAATTATTGAAAACTAAAGGCAAAGAGAAAATTTCAAAAGCAAAAGAGAATAAGAAACAACATTACATACACAGGAAGAAAGACTTGAATGGTCAGAAGCTTTCTCCAATCACATAGCATGAAGGCTAGAAGACAGGGAACAACATCTTTAAAGTAGTGAAAGAACAAAACTGCCAACTCAGAATTCTACAAGTGAAAATATCTTTTGAGAATAAAGAAGTGATGAAGACATTTTCAGAAAAACTGAAAAAAAATTAAAAAATATGTATGTACACCAGACCTATGCTGTTAGAAATGCTAAACAAAGTTAAAGAAAATGATGTCAGAGGGAAACCTTCAGCCACAAATAAAAATAATTAGAATGCTTATTGTAAGTAAATTATACCTCAATAAAGTTATTTTTAATTTTTTAAAGTAAATTAGTCTAGCTAACATCATGGTTCAAATGAGAAAAATGACAAAACTTAGAAAAATGAGGTAGGAGTATATTAGCTGTTTTGCACCAAAAAGCCCAATGAGGGTGAACCTAAGAACAGATTCTAAGCTTTCATTCATTGCTTTTGAAAACAAAATTATTATTTTCTCTCTCTCTATGTCAAAAATAAATGTGTGGTTTTAAATGAGTTTTATATTCTAACTGGATGATAGATGCAATACATACCATCTTGGTTTTCAAATACTGGTAAAACTTAGCTCTGGAAGAGAATTAGAGAAAAGCTATGGCATTCTTTCACCCCTGAGCCAATTCTAGTTCTTCAGCCAGAATGCTTACTGAGGTTCAAGTGAGAATTACATGGATAAATAAGAGATTTAATGTATTACAAATTCACTGGAAGAGCAAAAAAACAATTGTGATGATCAAAACTTTAGAAATCAGATTTTGCAAACAAAGAGAAGCCTACAAGATTAATTAATGAGAGCATGGAAGAGAAAAATCAGAAATTAGAAACTGAAAATGCAATGGAAATGAAATAAATTGACTGAAGACATGCATCAACAAAGCCAGTGAAATTGGACCCAGTTTTTCTTTGCTATCAAAATTACCATTTAGTTAAAAAGCAAAAACTAAGTAGCTTTGTATTTCAGAAATTCTCCTTGAAATAATATTCAGTATTAATTTCAAGTGAAATTACAGAGCATTTCTGGATAGGAATGATTTACTTCCATTGTGTTTTAAATGAACTAATTCTAATATCTATTTGATTCTACGCATCTATGTGAAACAAACACTTCTAACTCCTTTGTTCATTTGTAAATCCCCACACCTCCCAAACAAACAAACAAAAATATGTTCATGGGAAGCAGGCTTTCACAATCGTGAATATGTATTGCCCTATAAATTAGTTGTTGATATGTGTGTCTCCTTTGTTATAATGAACTCCAATGTGTGTCTCCTTTGTTATAATAAAGAAGAGGAATTCCTTATTTACCTTTGAGCTGCCAGTGCCTAGTACATGAGAGATGTTCAACAAAGCACTGTTAAATACATTTAATTCTGCATTTGTTTCTGCAGGGCTAGATATACAATTTGAGAGCAAGAGTCCAGTGTATAATAATAATGTGGGGCCCCTTGTTAAAAACTTATTAGAAATTTCAGGGTGGTGACTACAGAGCTTGAAAACAAGCCCAGGTCCCTTCTGAGAATGAAGCCCTATGTGACTGCCCATGTCACTTGCCCAGGAACCCACACTATATTTATGCTGTCAAATGCCTACCAGCATTTACTTCTGCTCCTGAATAGGAAGTAATTTAGAAATGGCTCCATTCCAAAATGGTATAATAATAATAACAACAGCAGGATTTTTTTTTTTAAACAGGCTTCTGGCCTGTTACATACAACATAGTAGGGGGAAAAAAACTGGAGAATCAGAGGTATAACAATTGAAAAGTGACCAGTTTCCAAATAAGGTTAAGAATGCAAAACAGTGAAAAATATAGTGGGAAGGTGACAAGAATAAATGTTCAACATTTTATTAGTAAGCTTTGTAGCTTTGTTCTTTCTAAATGTACCTGTTTAATAAAAACTTCACAATTAACCACAGTATTTGATTAGCCAAACTAATTTTGGATAATTTCAAGTTCCTTATATTTACATGCAGTATTCTAATGTCAAATATTTAGATTATGATAAAATGTCACTGATGCTAAATATGTTTAGGAATTTTTTTTTCCATGATTCCAAAGGCTCTTCAAGGCATTGTTATGAGGTATCTTTTTCCTTTGACCTTCAGATGCAAAGGGTTGAGCTAATCAGGCTGTGTAGGTCAGGGCATGTTATTACATTGGACTATAAAAAAGTCTCTTTTCTTTATTTGGTTCCTCTTATTTCCTTTCCTACATGCTATTCACTACTCCCTCTCTAGGCAGCCATTTCTGTTCAATGTGTTTAGTTTTCATTATATATTTAACTATAAAAATGTGATTTTTTTGTTTTAAATGCATGAATTCCAATTGTGATTTCTAATATATGAATTCATTTA
This sequence comes from Homo sapiens, assembly GCF_000001405.40. NCBI lineage: Eukaryota > Metazoa > Chordata > Mammalia > Primates > Hominidae > Homo > Homo sapiens. Next base: position 98,375,744 of record NC_000005.10, read on the forward strand.
GGTAAATAGTGTTTTCATGTGTTTACTAAGCACTGTGTTTTTAAAATCCATCTATATTTGCTATATGAATATCATTTATTATTTCTAACCACTATATAGTATTCCATAATATGCACCCAACACATTCTATTATCTGCTCTGCCAGTGATGATTAGTTCAACTCCCACCACCACAAATAATACAGCAATAAACATCCTTGTACATGTCCCCTAATGAATCTGTGTGAGACTTTTCTTGGGATATATATTGAAGAAATAAATAATTTAGACATAAGGTATGAGAACATAGATTTGAATAAGTGAGCTCATATTGCCCTTCTGAGTGGATACATTAGTTTTATCTCCCACCAGCAATAAATATGGATACCTATACCTCTACAAACTTGTCAATAGTTGGCATTGTTTAGCTTTCTACTTAATGCCTGGAGCATAGGTATAAAATGATAGCTCATCATTCTTTTGATTTGCATTTTCAGCATTACAAATGAATTTGAGCATCTCTTTGCTTGTTAACCTCTTGAGATGCCACTTTGTAAGCTGCCTTTCAAATCTCATGCTCATTTTTTATTGAAGTTTCTGTCAGCTTCTTGTTAATTTGTAAGAATTCCTTTTCTAGTCTAGTTATTAATGCCTTATTACTTGTAGATACTACAAATGATTCCCACCTTTTGTCATCCTGTTCCCTATGCATTATCTTAGTCTCTGATGTCCTTCATTGAACAGATATTTAATTCTGATAAAAAATATGATCAGTTTTCTTCTTATGCTTTACAGTTTAAAGGTTGTGTTGAACAACTCCTTCCCTGCTCCTAAATCACAAACATATGCTCCTGAATTATCTTCTCTTACTTTATACTATCACTTTTCACATGTAGGTATTTAATTAGGTATACATTGTAAGGTACTCTGTATAGAGAACAAGTTTTCCTAACATCATCAACAATCTATTCTTTCCCATGGATTTGTGCTGCAACATCAAAATATCATTGTGCTAGCAAAAATTAAATGCTAAAGAGGTCGATTTTTGATAAATCATTTTATGATTTGCTTTCTGACACGCTGAGCAAAAAATAATGAAAAGTGAATTTTGTAAAAGGAAACTTTGTATAGGGAAATTTGCATAATAATTTGCATAACAATTTAAGACATTCAATACTGGGATAGTAGCCACAAGAAAAGTCACCTTTCTGTCACTGGAAGTGTTTAAGCCGAGGTTGAATGTCCACCTGATGAATCCCATATAATAAGTGTATGGTTGATGACTTGTCCTCAGTTCTTTCATGTGCAATATAAGAGGACCATGCTATCTACCATCTAGGCCCTACATCAGATTAAGTTCAATGATTCTTTAAATCTGTGCCATCTAAATTTCCTTTCAGCTTAAAGAAACTCTGATTTTTTTTAAACATTCAGTCTTCTCTCTTTTACAGAATATTCCTAAAATTGGATCAAATGTCATAGCCCTGGAACTTTATGAAGTAATTATGCATGTATCTTTATTCATAAAATATCCAGAGAGCCTTGACTGCAGCTCCTTGGTAAATGAGATGAACTGTCCCCAGTATTTTTGCTCACCTTAGAAAACTTCTGGACCAATTTTTCCCAATAAATAATGTATCTCCAGTAAGATTTGCCGAAGGATTGCAGAACTTTCCTTGTAGACATCAAAAGTGAAGTCATGCACACTGATTTATTTGAGGAACAGCTTTGTTTGTTTGTTCATAACTTACCAAGAGCTCATTACTCATATTAAGTGCCGAATAAATATTTCTACATTCTACTACTTTTTAGGGTTTTTAAAACCCCTGATTAAGTGTAAAAATTTGGGGTATGGTGGCAAAGTAAAAGTTCACAAGTCTTAATTTCAAATCTTATCCCTGGGCCAGAAGCAAAGAAAAAAGACATTCTCTTAAAAGTTGACATCACTAGCTGAAAGACCATGCCCAAGTCTTGCCCTAACTGCCTCTCCCAAAATAGCTTCTTAATATGTTACTGAAAAATTAACATCTAAATTAAACCTCTCATTATTTTGTGTCTGCCTGAGACCTTAGTGATATATCTCAAGTTAGAGAGGTGTCCATAGATTTCTAGTCAAATCTAAGCAGGAAATTCTAAAGACAATGAACCTATTACTTATGAATAAGTGCATTTGCACAATAATTGTGTTGAGAAGGTTGCATTATAGCGGTATATTACTCCCTGGCACTATTTGGGTCAAGGTTATTACATTACAGTCAAATGACTAGAATAACAGTAAGATGCTCTTTGATTTTCTAATTATTATTAAAGAATGCCTCCTGAGCCCAGCCTCAGAAGCTTCTCTTTTGAATCATCTGCAACTCACGCTGCTTTGCATGCATTATACATTAAACCCATATGGCCATTTGATGGAGGGTCTCTAGAGGGAAGTTTCATACTGCTTTTTTCACTGCAGGAGGGAGAAAGGTAGAAAAAACAAGAAAGAGAGGAAAAGGCTGGGGCTAGTGAGAAGGAAGAAAGAACACTACTGGGCAAAGATCAGGTTTCAAGCAAAGGTGAGTCCAATTAATAAACACTAAATAGACATGGGAGCCAATTCTAGAAGATATTGTTTACATTTTTGTTGCTAAACTTGAGGGAGCTCCTGAGCAAGGGTGCTGTTTTTATCTGTCAGTTTTTAGTAAGCACATCTACCCTATCATTTCCTAAAATGAGAAAGAGCTGCAGCTATTTGTCAAAAATGTATGTATACAGTTGAAGTTTGGCTTTAATGGAATCATGTTAAAAATTAATATTTAAAAGGCACCTATGCAATGTGGTACATCCAAAAATATTTCCCCAAGTTTGACAAAATACATGTAATTTTATTGAAAGATAATATATAGAAATTCTCCAATATGCCCAGAATTCCCCCACTTAAAGTCCTCCTTTGAGAACAGATAATAAAGCACTAATTCCTCAGAAATTAGGCACAGAAGTAATTCCTCATCCATTCTCAACAGAGTAATGCACTTGTACTTTAACTTACGCAAATCCTAAAAGTAACACCTATTTATTAGTCATATTCATTCTTATTTCCCTGCTCTGGAACAAGTTCTATTCTTCAGGTTCAGCAGATTATGAATATCACCTAATAATGTCAAATACAATTGAGCACTAATCATGTGTCAGGCATTATGCTAAGTATTAAAAATCCATTATTTTATTTATTTCTCATAACAATCTTATCCAATATGTATTCATATTATTGTAATTATTTTCACTTTACAGATGAGAAAACTGAGGCTCAGAAATATTTTACATTTACATCATGTTCAGCTCTATATGTTACATTTTATAATTTGAATATTAAAGTAGATAAAAGGCAATTTTTTATTTTTGTTCTTGCAATGTATAGATGGATTGATGCAACTTTCATCTTTAATTTGATTAGTCATCTTGCCCACAGAAATATATTTAGCCTTCAAACTTACAGGTCATTTTCTCAGTTTTTCTTAGGAGAAAAACAAAATTAAATGACAATGACAACAAAACTATGTGAGATAAAATATTAATGATATTTCAGCCAATGGGCTATTAAATGTCCTCCCACTCACATTTTCATTATCTAAACCTTCCTATAAATGGGGTTACATTTTTTTTGAATACCAATATTAATTTCTCGATTAAATATTTACCATTTAAAATATTTTTTAAAGAATCTGATATAGGTTAGTAGCACAGAGTTGATGGAAGAGAAGCATGCAAATAGCTCTGAACAGATTTTCTGTATTTAGTTTTAAATGAAGCAGGACTCCAAGAAAGCATTACATTTTACCATTCCCATAAAGGTGGTGTTGTTTTTTTTTCTCTTTACTATTCTGGCATCCTGTCCCTGCCCCTATGTAGTAAGGACCCTAAGTGAGCTCCAGATCTTATTTTCTCACCCTTGCTTCCATCAGTAGCAGAAAAGGTCTCTCTCTCATGGCCAGTCTATGACTCAACTCATATGTGGCACATCATCTATCCCTTACTAATCAGAATGAGATATGCATCTGTTTCCCCAAATTATCAAGCATGTGAATTGCTACATGTGAATAATAACTGAAAAGAACCAGTTAAAATACAAAATTACCCATTATGCAAAATCTTGAGCACTTCCCTTTTTGAAATAATACAATCATAAATTGTTCTATTTGTTTTCTTGAGGGCAAATGGTCCTCAGGAAATATTTATTCCATTACAATTAAAAAGGAAGTTTTAAATAAATGCCCATCAATATTCCATTGCTCCACTTTAAAAATTAGGAAAATAGGAACTTAAAACTTCCTTTATAAATACAATTGAATGCAATATACCTATTTGATTCTATCTGTGTTTTCCATTGGATTGAGTCAAAACCAAGAAATATTTCATTTATCTTTACAATTTCCCCCACTGATAAGTGCTTTCCACAAGACCTGATAAATAGAATATTCTCCATAAAATGTATTAAATGATGACTGAATAAACAGATAAGTAAAAGAAAAAAAATGCACAAAATAATACAAAGGGGAGTTTTAAAGTTTATGTAGGTCAACAAATGGGAAAATTAATGGCTTTAGGTATAAAAAGAAAATGTCTGAAATCTGGTTAGTGGCAGAACCAGAACTGAGTCCCACCTCCACTCACCACGCTTCCCACTATTCCACACTTAAACTCTAAAGTATGTCCACATAACCGTGAGATACAAAAAAGGGATTAGTGACTAGAAATGTATTTGTGTAGACAGAAAGAAACAGACAAATGGGAAAAAAACATAGGGAGAAGCACAGAAACACAGTAAAATAGACTCAAAACCACATGGAATATAAAGAATCAAACCCAGAGATAGACTTATGACCCAGTATTCCCACCTATGAAGCTCTGTTGCATTTTCTTAACCTTAAACAGTGTTGTTCACCAGTTGGTATGTCCATCGGTAAGAAGTCAGTTGAATCGTGGTGCAGGTATATAATGAAATACTATATAACTGTTACATGAAAGATATACATATCTGTATATGTGTGTACATATACACAGATATATATATCTATATGTGTATATATACTGTATATATATGTATATATATACATCTATGTAGATGTATAAATATACATATATGTATATGTATATACTGTATATATACTGAGATAGGCCAAGTTTTTTAAAAAAGTAAACATAAAAACAAAGTGCACAAAAGTAAGACTCAGATACTACTAAGTGGGAAAAAAGAAAGTATAAGATACAGATATTTACATACATGATGCTTGGAGAGACTAGAATATCTCTGAATATGTATACACAAGAATCCAAAATCTGGTTGACTTCAGAGAGGAAACTAAAGGACTAAAGATAAGAAGTGGGCATTTGTTTTGTTGTATGTATTCTCTTTGGCAGTGTTATAATTTCTTACTAGATACAGATGACTTTTTAAGAGACAAAAATGAAAATAAAGGATTCGTCTGGCTCATAATTTACTATAATACCATTATTGACACTGTTTTTTGAATTTCTCAAGTTTTACCATGATTTTTGAACCAATAGTTATCAACAAGAATTAAAATTAAAATTAAAATTATAGGCGATTATATTAGAGGTTATAGATGGAAAGAAACTATGCATTCTAGTTCAGAGCACAGTGCTAGACATCAAATAGACAATAAATTACAAAACCTGATGCTAATAATCAGTAAATTACAGAGAAGGATCACTTTCTTCCTTCTCCCTTCCAATCAAACCTCTCTCCAAGATCTAGCTATTACTTCTCAGAGATTCCAAGCCAAAAAACCAAAAGCCTTATGACTTATTTTCAGTTTTGAAAATACACTTTATCACCCTTTGATTAAGCCTCTGATTAGGAAACGTAGTAACACTGTTAAGCATATGGTTTGATATGGGCATTTGAATTAAACCATGGGACCAATTACCCTAAACACTTTTTCTCTAAGATGGCAGGCATAGTTCTTGAGAAAATGTATTTCTGACAGGGAGCAACTGGAATAATACAAATTTTATAGGTACGTAGTAGGTGTATATACTTATGGGGTACACGAGATATTTTGATACAGGCACATAATACATAAAAATCACCTCAGAGTAAATGGAGTACCCATCACCTCAAGCATTTATCATTTCTTTGTGTTAAAAACATTCCAATTATACTCATTTAGTAATCTGTAAATAGACAATACGTTTATGTTGACTTAAGTCACCTTGTTGTGTTATCAACTACTAGATTGTATGCATTCTATCTAAATACATTTTTGCACCCATTAACATGCTCCATTACCCCCCACTTCCATTTCCTGCCTCTGGTAATCATTATTCTATTCCCTACTCCCATGAGTTCAATTGTTTTAATTTTTAGCTACCACAAATGAGAAGAATATGCAAAGAAGAAATGCCTGGTTAATTGCACTTAATATGATGTCTTCCAGTTCCATCCATGTTGTTGCCACGACATAATTTTCTTCTTTTTTATAGCCAAATGGTACTGCATTGCGTGTATGTATCACATTTTCTTTATCCATTTGTCTGTTGATGGACACTTTGGTTGCTTCCAAAGCTTGGCTATGATAAATAGTGCTACAATAAACATAGGAGCATAGATATGTCTTCGATTTATTTATTTTCTTTCTTATGAACATATACCTACCAGTGGGATTGCTGGGTCATATGGTAGTTCTATCTTTAGTTTTTTGAGAAACCTCCATACTCTTTTCCATAGTGGCTGTACTAATTTACATTCCCAACAACTGTGTTCTATGGCTACTTTTTCTCCACATCCTTGCCATCGTTTCTCACTGCCTATCTTTTGGATAAAAACCATTTTAACTGAGGTGAGATGATTTCTCATCATGGTTCTGATTTGCATTTCTCTAATTAGCAGTGATGTTGAGCATCTTTTCATATACTATTAGTCATTTGTATATCTTCTTTGAGGAAAGTCTATTCAGATCTTTTTCCCATTTTTTGATCTAATTATTTGATTTTTTCCTATAGAGTGGTTTGAGCTCCTTATATATTCTGGTTTTTAATCCCTTGTCAGATTGGTAGTTTTCAAATATTTTCTTGGCTATTAGAGTTCTTTTTTGGTTCCATATGAATTTTTAAATAGTTATAATCCCTTTGAATAAACTTCCTACTCCTATCTCTTTCTCTACCTCCTCTTTAAGGCCAATAATTCTTAGATTTATCCTTTTGAGGGTATTTTCTAGGTCTTATAGATGATTTTTTTTTCTTTTGTATCCTCTGACTGTGTATTTTCAAATAATCTGTCTTCAAACTCACTAATTCTTTCTTCTGCTTAATCAATTCTGCTATTAAGATATTTTGATGCATTATTCAGTATGTCAGTTGCATTTTTCTAGAATTTCTGTTTGACTCTTTTCAATTGTTAATATTTCAATCTCTTTGTTAAATTTATCTGAGAGAATTCTGACTCATTCTCCACACCACACACCCACTGCTGGTGGACAGGAGAGTGGTAGTGTTGGCAAAACAAGACTGTCTCTCCTACCCAATTCAATGCCTCATTCAATGATGTGAAGTTAAATCCAGGTACTGTGATTACTGCACCTGATATTGATTCTTGTGATGGTGCTTTTCTCTGTGCAGATAGTTGTTGAAATGTGGTGCTCCTTTCAGGCAAACTCTGTAGGCTTCTATTCCACCATTTTGGTCTGCCACCCTCCTCTTGATACTGATTTCCAATTTTATTCCATTGTGGTTAGAGAAGATACTTGATATGATTTTTTTTTAATTTTTAAAGACTTGTTCCTTGGGCTAACATATGGTCTATCCTTAAATATGATCTGTGTGCTAAGTAGAAGAATGTACGTTCTGTAGCCATTGAATGAAATGTTCTGTAAATATTAATATCTATTAGAAACATGTTGTCTATAGTGTAGATTAAGTCCAATTTTTTTATTTCTTTTCTGTCTGGATGATCTGTCCATTACTGAAAGAAGGCTGTTGAAGTCTCCAGCTATTATTGTAATGAGGTCTTTCTCTCTCTTTAGCTCCAATAATATTTGGTTTATGTATCTAGGTGCTCCAGTGTTGAGTGCGTATATATTTACGATTGTTATACCCTCTTGCTGAAATGACTTATTTATCATATATAATGACTTTCTATGTCTCTTTTTATACTTTGTGTCTTGAAATCTATTTTGTCTGATGAAGTGTAGCTACTCTGCTCTTGTTTTGGTTTGCATTGGCATGGAATATCTTTTTCTATCCCTTTATTTTCAGTCTACATGTGTTTTTGTAGGTGAAGAGCTTCTTGTAGGCAACAGATCATTGGGTCTTTTTTTAAAATTCATTCAGCTACTCTATTTTTTAATTAGAGACTTTAGCTCATTTATATTTAATGTTATTATTGATAAGTAAGAACTTTCTATTGCCATTTCATTATTTGTTTTCTGATTGTTTTATGGTTTCCTCCTCTCTTTTTCTTTTTTTTTTGTGAAGAGGACTTTCTCTGATGGTGTGTTTTAATTTCTTGATTTTCATTTCTGTGTATCAGTTGTATTTTTTTTTTGTTTTGAAGTTGCCATGAAACTAGCAAATAACATCTTACAGCCCATTATTTTAAACTGATGACAATTTTACTCTAATTGCCAAAACAAACAAACAAGCAAATAGAAAAGTGATAAAAACTTTATACTTTAATTCATCCCCCTTTTTAACTTTTTGTTGTTTCTATCTATATGTTACTATACTGTCTATGTCTTGAAAAGTTGTTGTAGTTATTATTTTTCATAGGTTCATATTGTAGTCTTTTAACTCAAGATATGAGTAGTTTACACACCACAATTACAGTGTTATACTATTCTATGTTTTGCTGTGTGCTTACCATTAGCAGTGAGTTTTATACCTTTCAGATGACTTCTTATTGCTTATTAATGTCCTGTTCTTTCAGATTGAAGAATTCCCTTTAGTGTTTCTTATAGGAAAGTTCTGGTATTGATGTAATCCCTCACCTTTCATTTATCGGGAGAAATATTTATGTGTTTTTCATGTTTGAAGTATAGTTTCACTGGATATACTATTCTAGGATAAAAGGTTTCTTTTTTTTCTTTCAACACTTTAAATATTTCATGCCACTCTCTCCTGGTCTGTTAGGTTTCTACTCAGAAGTCTGCTGTCAGATGTATTGGAGGTCCTTTGTATCTTATTTGTTTCTTCTCTCTTGCTGCTTTTAGAATTCTTTCTTTATCCTTGAACTTTGGGAGTTTGATTATTAAAAGTATTAATGTAGTTTTATTTAGATTAAATCTACTTGGTATTCTATAAGCTTCTTGTGGTTGAATATTGATATCTTTTCGTGGGTTTTGAAAGTTCTCTGTTATTGCTTTGAATGAATTTTCTACTCCCATCTCTTTCTCTACCTTCTTGTTAAGGCCAATAACTCTTAAATTTGCCCTTTTGGACCTATTTTTTAGATCTTGTAGGCATGCTTCATTGTTTTTTAATCTTTTATACAATCTCTGATTGTATGTTTTCAAATAACCTGTCTTCAGACTCACTAATACTTTCTTCTACTCAATCAATTCTGCTGTTGAGAGAGTCTGACACATTCCTCACTATGCTAATTGAACATTTCAGCTGCAGAATTGCTACTTGAATTTTTAAAAATAATTTTAATTTATTTGTTAAATGTATTTTATAGGATTCAGAATTTCTGTGTTACCTTAAATTTTGTTCAGCTTCCTCAATGCAGCTATTTTGAATACTTTGTCTGGAAGATCACATACCTCTGTCACTCTGGGATTGGTCTCTGATGCCTTATTTAGTTTGGTGAGATCATGATTTCCTGGATGGCCTTGACACTTTGGGATGCTCATCGATGTCTAGGCATTGAAGAGTGAGGTGTTTGTTGTATTCTGAGCTTATTTTGTACCCATTCTTCTTAGGAAAGCTTTCCAATTACTCAAAGGGAATTGAGTGCTGTGATCTAAGTCTTTGGTCATTGCAGCCATATCTGCATTAGAGGCCTTCCCAAACCCAGTAATGCTGTGACTCTTGCATACTCATAGAGATACCCCTTGGTTGTCTTGGGTAAGATCTGACAGAATTACCTGGATTACCAGGCAGAGACTCTTGTTTTCTTCCCTCACTTTACCCCAAACCAACGGAGTTTCTGTCTCTCTGAGCTGAGCTGCCTGGAGTTGAGGGAGGTGTGAGAGAAGCACCCCTGTGGTACCACCACTGGGACTATGCTGGGTCAGACAGAAGTCAGCACAGTACTGGGTCTCACCGAAGGCCTGCAGTGACTATTGTCTGTCTTCCACTGATGTTTATTTAAAGTCCAAGGGCTCTTTAGTCTGCAGGTGGTGAATCAAGCCTGCCTTGTGTCTTTCCCTTTAGGGTAGAGAGTTCCCTTCTAGCTCAGTGTGTGTCTAGAAATGGTGTGCAGGAGCTACAACCTGGAGGTGAGAATGTCAGGAATCTACTTAGTACTTTATTTTACTGTGACTGAGCTGGTACTCAGGTTGTTAGACAAAGTTCTTTTTTTTTTCCTCTCTTTTCCTCAAGCAGGAGTCTCTCCTCACGGCCACCACTGCCCATGTGGTAAGTACTGACTGGCTACCACTGATGTTCTTTTCAATGCTCAAGGGCTCTTTAGTCTGCACGTGGTGAATTTTGCCAGGCTTGGGTCTCTTCTTTCAGGCAAGTGGGTTCCCTTCTGCCCCAGGATGGGTCTAGAAACGCTGTCCAGGAAGTAAGGTCTGGAACTGGGGATTTTAGAAATTTCCTTGGTGTTTTATTTTACTGTAGCTGAGCTGCTACAAGCTGCAAGAAAAAAAACCTTTTTACTCTTCCTTCTTCTTTCACGAAGCAGAAGGAGTGTCTCTGTGGCCACTACAGCTGGGAATCCACTGTCACACCGGAAGGCAGCACAGTACAGGGTCTCACCCAAGTAAGCGCCCATGGCACTGCTTCTTGGATACTGCTGATGTTTATTCAAGGCCCAATGGCTCCTTAATAAGCAGGTGATGAATCTTGAGGGAACTGGCTCCTCCTGTCCAAGGCAGCAGTTCCCTTCTGGCCGACAGTGTGTCTAGAAATGTCAGGTAGGAGCTAAGGCCTGGAATGGGGGCTTCAGGACCCTGCTTGGTGCCCTATTCCACTGTGGCTGAGCTGGTAGCCAAGTTGCAAGACAAAGTCTTCTTTGCTGTCCCTTCTCCTCTCCTTAAGCAGGGGGAAAGAGTCTTTCCAGGAACTGCGAGCTGTGCCGCCTGGGGTTGGGGGAGGGGTTAAGCAAGCACTCTGTTGGCTGCTCTAGCTGTGTCTCACTAGGTCATGTGTACCCCAAGTACACTATCTCTGAGCCCAGAAGAGCACCAGGACTTGCAGTCCTTGTGGCGTAAACTGCCTTTCAAGTTTACTTAGGATTCTTGATCACTTGGATCACTTAGGATTCTAGCCCATGGTAGTGAGGCTGGCTGGAACTCAGTTCCCAAGCACTGGAACGGGTGATTTCCCTCTGCCTAGGGCTGGTCTAAATCCTCCCTCCATGGGCACCAGCTGTGTTCTGCCCTGTATTGCTTTCTGCTGTAACAGGTGGTACTGAGTTCCAATGCAAAGCCCACAATCACTGCACTTCCCCTCTGTCAAGCACACAGATTCTCTCTCGGTGTTATACTGTGCAGCTGGGAGATGGAGGAGGGATAGTTCAGGAGATTCAAGACTGTCTTTCCTACCCTCTTTAGCGTCTCTTTCCTTAATGTGATGTTAAAACCAAGTACTGTGATAACTCACATGCTTTTTGGTTCTTATAAAGGTGCTTTATGAGACAGGGCCTTGCTTTTTCACCAAGGCTGGAGTGTAGTGTCACAATCTCAGCTCACTATAACCCCTGCCTCTGGGCTCAAGTGATTCTCCCACTTCAACATTCCAAGTAGTGGGGACTACGGGCATGCACCACTAAGCCTGGATGAATTTTTTATTATTTGTAGAGATGGGTTTTTGCCATGTCGTTGCCCAGGCTGGTCTCAAACTCCTGGGCTCAAGCCATCCACCTGCCTTGGCCTCCCAAAGTGCCAGGATTACAGGTGGGAGCCACCACACATGGCATAAAGGTGCTTTCTTTTGTGGATAGTTCCATCTGGTGTTCCTGCAAGGGGTGGGGGATGATCACTGGAGGATTCTATTTGGCCCTCTTGCTTCACCTCTAAATCTCCTAGCACAAATATGTATAGCCATTCACTTGAATCATTGAAGTTAACATATTTTTAAATTATATTCCCATTTTTTTCTTTCTCACCCCAGATTGCCTTTCTAAAACACGAATCTAATCATGTTCCTCTCTTCCTGATAAACAGCCATCAATGTTTCATATATATGTCTACAAGAAGTCTGTGTTCATAAACCACTTGGCATTCCTCAGCCTCAGTATGTGAACTGTGTAATACATATTTTCAAAAAACATCTTCTGCTTGTTTCTGTGACAAATTAGCTTACTGTTGATATACTGAATCAAGAACAGTTTATTTATAAGCTTCTTTTTATCTATTATTGAGCATTTAGGAAAAATCAAAACCTGAACTGAGAAAAATCTTTTTAAGTGCTTGGCTGCCTCAGAAATGAGGACAGTATGAACAATTTGCAATAGAAATGGGAGGAGCCTATGTGAAGATATAGATTTCTAACATGTTATATGTGATTAGAAAATATGGTCTGGTAGCATCATTAATCAAAGCTAAAAATTTACCTAACAGAACCCAGCAGCCCCAAACTCTAGCCATTTCCTCGCTGGTTTCCTATAAAAACACAAACAGTGTGAATTTGATTAACACCTATCCCTAATCTGTCTGTTCAGCCCTACCACCTGTTTTACAAATTATTATCAATCAGGGATTGGGATTGGTTTGTCTTCAGGAAAGGCAGAACCAAAAAAGTGGAGTTTTCTGGCCTAATTACTTGTTTTTTAAACAGGCACACCCACACATTTTGCCTACAAATTGTGACGCTTTGATATGCAGTAAAATTATTTTCACTCTGAAGTAATTTTAGATTGAGCCATTTATCACAGAACATCAAGGGTTGTCTTAAAAAGATAAAATGAATTGTGCCTCAATTGCCTAGTTAATTTCCTAAAAATGAAGGTTCCTTGTTTGTATTTACCGTGAGGATTACTCATGCAAACACTTAGTCTTCCTCACTGGGTGATTCTAAGCCCCTTAAGGTTAGGATTCCTGCCACACTAAAGACACACACACACACACACACACACACACTCACACACACACACCATCTAGCCCAATGTCATGGACTTAGTAAATACTCAGAATATCTGAGAAATTAATAATTCAAGTTCCCTACCTTGTCTTTTTCTTTAGCATGTGCTAGATATTGTATACAATTCCAATGCCCGGTTAATTTTATCTTTCTGGCAATAGCTTGTTAGATTTGTGGAATTATAGAGTCCACAGGAAGCTTCAAGGTTTATTGGATGCACCTCTTTATTTCACAGATGAGAACACTGAGGTTATATGGAATTAAAAGATTGTCTAAAGTCATGCAACTAGGGAGTAGCAAATCTGGAACTAGTCTCATTCCTGAGTTCCAGTGATCTCTTCTCTGAATCACACGGAACTGTCTCCTATCAGAGCAATCTAATTGGAGGTTAAAATGCAACCCTATGAACCTTGCTATATATCTGTTTATTTCCTAGGATACATCCTTTTTGCCTTTAAATGGAAAATATGAATATTTATCCAAGACATACATGGAACAATCTGAATATCCCCAAAGAATGTCATTCATTAAAAAACACCAACAACTTTTGGCATTATCACAATAAATGATGGAGAGAGAGAAAGTCCTTGGAATTTTTCTCAAGTTGATCAGTGCAATGATTTCTTAGCCAAATTTACTATCTTACATATAATTTGCATTAAATACAAAGACAGGAGTAAATAAAAATAATACATTGGCTTCATCTAGTCTTTCTGATACCTTGACAGAGAATTAACTTTGCCAGACTCTACGTGGAACAGAGATAAAGAAACCGGTTTTCATTTTCAAAGAGGTAACATGAGATTTGATTGTTCATACTCTGTGAAGCACATAGGGACATTCATCACAGGCCACTAAAGAAAGAGCGATTTTTGCATTGCCACACCTTGAATGCATAATAGCAACTGAACATTAAACATTTCAGTGTTTAAGTAACTGATAAGCTCCTCCTACTCCCCAAAGTGTTTAACTGAGAAGATAGAAAAACAAAACAAAACATGTTTTCAACTATGGTTATAATAATTATAAAAATCAAAGACAAGCCTCCAGAGCCCCTTAAGCTGGATATCACAGACAAAGCAGACAGTCCTCTGATGAGCTATGATGTGATCTTTGTGCGGCTAAGCTTTAAGAGGAATGATGGAGTTCACAAGCTGGAAAAGTTTGCTGTGAAATTCCTCAACTTAGGGAGAGAGGAATGTCAACAGGAACAATGAAGTCTCTAGGAAAACCAAGGAAATAATTTTCACTCCCAGATACGTTTCTTCTTTTGGAAATCCCAACAAACCTGAAGAGGGAGTTTCTTGTGGAATTCAGAAGAGGTGGTGATAGCAACAAGCAGGTACAACTAATGCACTGTAGGTGTTAAAAATCTACCATGCCGTACTTATGTATTGATTTGAAATCAATATAATTGATTTAGTCAGCTCTCTAACCCAGTGAATTCAAGGCGATCAAAATAGCAAACGCAGATAGCTACACAAATGTGATCATTCTTATTTAAATAAGCTACACTGGAAAATAAAAATAGCAGCAACTATAAAAATGAAAATAACGATAGCTAATATTTGCTGAGACTCTGTCTCAGTTGCTCCCTCTGGATTATATGTTGCATTTAATCCTTACAATACCCCCTCTGAGATATATATTATCTGTCAAAACTCATGCTACTACCTTTTTCTGTTTGCATAAGCATTCTAAAGCACTCTCTTGGTAATCTTTTCCAAGGCATTAAGCATATTCTGCCTTGATTTCTGAGTTATGTGCTTGCTTATCTCTTTTTCCTCATTATAAACACCTTGAGAGCAGGAAGCATAACAGCAAAATAACAGTGCTTGCTATTTAAGTGAGAATCAACAAATATTTACTGGATTGAACTGAATTAATTTGCATTGAAATGTAGATTGCAAATGTGCAGGAAAAATCCAAGTTACTTGGGAGTTAATTAGCAAGTCACTGCTCAAACTCCAGGTGTTTATATCAATTACTAGAACATGGATGTGGTTTTAAATTTAAGCCAATTTGCTCTTTCTACATTTCTATTCTACCATAATTTGAAAGTTTGTCAATATCATCAACTATTGCTATCCTGTTAAAGGATAGGATGACTAGAAATCTGAGACTATCAGGGTATGAAATGAGGAGCAGACCCCAAAGCATATAATTCCATGTAGCCAGATATTGCTATGCAAGATTATTGATGCAGTAATTAATGCAAATATCGCAGGTCATGGGAAAAATTTATTATACTGAATTCATTAAAATGTTACTCTAACAAGCATTTTTGATGTTCTCTTTCTTATTTTTACTTTCATTTTGTAGGTATTGTCCTGGATCATAGTTTTTAATGACTTTGTGTCATAAAATATAGTTTGCTTTGGACTGCATTGAAAAGGTGGATAATTAATTTGTTGGCAGAGAAACATACATAAGGAACAAACGTAACTTTCTCAGGAACTTAACTGAAGCATACTGCTGCGCAATGCTAAATATGCTGTACCCACAAGTCATTCTAGTCATTTTCTGTCACATACTGCAACAATATTCTGAAAAGATATTTACTATTACTTTTTTCTTATATAGTTTTAGATAAAGAGACCTGGATAGGAAGTGTTGATATTGTTATCCTAAGGTCAATAATTATATCATTTTTGGAGCTAATGTTGGAATTATGAACTTTTATTTTGTACATAACTACAGGTCATAGAACAATTTACAGGAGTGTGAAACTTCTTGTAGCTACTTATATAATCTGTTTCCATTTTCTATTACCAACTATTTCTAATTTGGGAGAAAAATTATTCAGAAAATTACTACTTAACTGGAAAATCTTTTTTTTTTTTTTTTTCTGGCAGAGCTACCTGAGGTTTTATTTTGGACAAAAAAATAAAGCAACTAAATTGTTTTGCAGCTGGAGAAATGGGCAAGGGGGGTCCCCAGGCAGTAAACTCCCTGGCAGGTGAGCTGAGGACTAGGGCTGACCCTCAGGTGGGTCCCCCGTTCCCTGTGCTACTCTGCACAACGGCCTCCCTCCCGGGCTCTGGGGCAGCCGCAGGAGCAGTAGTCTGGGAGGGGCTTCCGCACCTGTCACTTGGGCAGGACGTCAGGACGTCAGGACCTCAGAGGACTCAGACACCAGCTTCCCATCGCGGGTCTCAATCTTCCTCACAACCACGCCCCTCGTGGAGCCTGTGCGGCTGAAGGAGCTGAAGCCCGCGCCAGAGCCAAAGCTGGAGCCCAGGCGGTAGCTGCGGCTGGGAGTTGTGAGGCCCCCATAGGCTGAGCTCAGCCCACTTGCATTGCCGCTGGTGGTCTTCCTATGGATGAATACTCATGTTCTGCATCCCAGACTCCAGCCAGCTCTCCTCGCCCTCCAGCAGCTTCCTACAGGTGGCAATCTCAATGTCCAGGGCCAGCTTGACGTTCATCAGCTCCTGGTACTCACGCAGCTGCCGCGCTATGTCCTCCTGCTGGGCCGGCTGCGGGGCAGCCTCCAGCTCGGACAGCTTGCGGTTGGCATCCTTAACGGACAGCTCCCCACTCTGCTCGGCATCTGTGATGGTGGCCTCCAGGGAAACTTCTGGCCTTTGAGGCCCTCAATCTCAGCCTGAAGCTAGCTGATGTTCCGGTTCATCTCAGAGATCCGAGTCTTTGTGCGCTGTAGGTCACCCCCATGCTTCCCAGACAGCGTCTGCAGCTACTCATACTTGATCTGGTACATGCTGTCAGCCTCAGCCTGGCTGCGGTTGGCCATCTCCTCCTACTGCGCCTTTACCTCAGCCATGATGCTGTCCATGTCCGGGAGTGGCTGTTGTCCATGGACAGCACCACAGACGTGTCCAAGATCTGGGACTGCAGCTCCTGGATCTCCTCTTCATATAGCTGTCTAAGGAAGTTGATCTGGTCAGTCAGCCCTTCCACACGAGACTCCAGCTCTACCTTGTTCATGTAAGCTTCATCCACATCCTTCTTGATGAGGACAAATTCATTCTCCGTCTCTGTACGCTTATTGATCTCATCCTCGTACTTGTTCTTGAAGTCCTCCACCAGCCCCTGCATGTTGCCAAGCTCCGCTTCCAGCTTCAGCTTCTCCTGGCCCAGAGTCTCCAACTGCCTCCTAAGGTTGTTGATGTAGCTCTCGAACATGTTGTCCATGTTGCTCTGAGCCATCTTCTGCCGCTGCAGGAGGCTCCACTTGGTCTCCAGCATCTTGTTCTGCTGCTCCAGGAATCGTAACTTGTCTATGAAGGAGGCAAACTTGTTGTTGAGGGTCTTGATCTGCTCCTTCTCCTGGGTGCGCACGGCCTGGATGTTGGGGTCCACCTCCAGGTTAAGGGGACTCAGCAGGCTTTGGTTGAACGTGATGGCGGTGATGCCTCCCATGCCGCTGGCCCCACCATAGCCTCCACCCAGACCACCCAGGAAGCTGCTGCTGCTGCCCACTCAGGAGAAGCTCAAGGAGCTGATGCGGGCACTGGGCCCACTTGTGTAGGAACAGCTGCTGAAGTCCTGGGAGCCAGAGGTGGACACCTTGTAGGACTTCTGGGTCACCCTGATGGACAAGGTGGAAGCAGGAGTGGAGGCAGGCGGGTGGGCTAAACCAGACGGAGATCCCAGAAAGAGCAGAGAAGCTGCTTCTTGGTGGAAAATCGTTTTATACTTTAGGATTTGTATTCCAAAGTATCAGTAGTTTTCAAAAATGTTAACTATGACCCATGATAAGAGGTAATATTACAGCGTGGCCCACACAAAAACAAACATATATAAAACATGAATCAAAAGCTTTATTACATAGTACCTATCCTTGCCGTGCTCCACTAATTTTGACATTTTCTGTTAAACACTATTTTATTTCATTTTAAAAATGCTTATAACACTAAATTAATTTCACAACCATTAATAATCACAGCCTTCAAATTTTTTTAAATGTCATGAACATTAGAACGATTATATAAATTAGAAGTGAGCTTTCTTAAATATATCCTTTTCTCTAGAAATTCCTTACAGATTTCCAAAAACTGCCACTTAGCACCTCAGCTAAATGATTAGATTTGTGGTTATAGACATGAATACTTTGCCTGTAGAGGTGATATAAGTACTTCATCTTTTGGGTGTGTGGTATGTTAGTTTTCATTCAGAGCTGTAGACCCAGACAACTGTTAGGTATGGGCACAAATATTGATATTTTTTCCTCCACAGAGATGAGAGTTCTTGAGAAAAACAGTGAAGTGCAAGATAGAAATAAAAAGGAAGACTATGAGATGCAGCTGAATAAAGATAGAAGTAATAATTAATCTCTCCTTTCCTAGTTCCAGCAAATGGGATTATCTGGCCAGGTCAGTACCTATCTTGACAGAGAAAAGTGAAATTCTTTCTCAGACACCTGCTTGCAGTTTCAAAGCAGAAATTAACAAACAACAAAATCACTGAACAAAACTATAAAGGAGAAATACTTTTATGCATTTTCTTAAAATTTTTGTCTATAAATTCAGAGGATAATAAATTATTTAAACTATTTAAATTAATAATTGCCCCCATGTTGCTGACATTGTGTAAAGAAAGATTAATTGTAATATTTGTTGAATTAAATTTATTAATAATATCTGTCCAACTTACTAAAAAATAATAAAAAATAATATTTTTTAATGAATGAATAAAAATCTTCTAAGTCAAAGATTTACAAGAAATGTTTAATATTACTTGGTCTTCTAAAGTAAGGTTATATTTGAAAATATGTAAAGTCCAGTTTCTCTAATGTATTTGTTTTTTAGTTCATTCATATTTACCATCTGCAATTATTAAATTATTCAAACAATTTATTCATTCCAATGTCTTCTTGCTTCTATTTCATTCAATTCCTAATCACCAGATGAGACAGTATTCTGGAAAACCAATATTTATTTCATTATTCTTCTACCTCATATATCCAGTGCCTTCTAGTTTATATCCAAGGCCCTAAAATTAGAAATAAAGGTTTCCCTAACCTGGATCTAGCCAATCTATCTCACCTAATTCCTTGCTTCACTGTATGTTCAATACTGTGGACAAATGGAAGCCAATGATAATCCCGAAAGACACACCCACGAACACCATAAATCCAAATGTTGAACTCACAAAAGATCAAAATCCTGACACCATAACTCTGCAAATAGTAATTTTAAAAATATTTAAAAGATATTTACATTTTTAAAAGGAGATTTATTTGAGAAACATACAAAAACACAGCAGAACACTTCATAAGCCACTTTACCCAATAACAGGCAATAATAACACAAATTTCAAGTATGAATATTCAGGTATACTGATAGTCACACTGATACAACAGTTATGAGCAGATGAACTATATTCATAAAAAAATAGGTCAAAAGCGAAATGTATGAATACCTATCACTGTGGTTGGTAATAGCGTGTTTTAGGACTGCTGTCCTAAATACTGTGAGGGATGAACTAAGTCTTTTGACATGATTGATCGAAAACTGGAATGGGTCACCACTGTACCAATCACCCAAAGAGCCAAGATCTCAAAAAATTTTATCTTTCACAAACGCAGATGTACAAAAATTGTCTTCATTTACTGAGGAAATTCCAATATTTTTACATACGTGCTCCAATGCTTACACTCGAAGTCAATGTTGTGATAATGCACTTTCATGGAATCATATTTACAAAAAATGCATAAAACAAATTAGACATTTCTAGAAGTCTCTACATGATTTATACTTCCAGTATTGGAAATGATGCAAAGATAAAATACATATCACAGAGAATTGAAAAAGAAAAAAAATGCTGAGAATGTAAAATACTGGGAAAAAAACTGAAAAAAAGAAAAAACCAGATCTACAATGAACTCAAACAAATTTACAAGAAAAAAACAAACAACCCCATCAAAGAGTGGGCGAAGGACATGAACAGACACTTCTCAAAAGAAGACATTTATGCAGCCAAAAAACACATGAAAAAGTGCTCACCATCACCGGCCATCAGAGAAATGCAAATCAAAACCACAATGAGATACCATCTCACACCAGTTAGAATGGCAATCATTCAAAAGTCAGGAAACAACAGGTGCTGGAGAGGATGTGGAGAAACAGGAACACTTTTACACTGTTGGTGGGACTGTAAACTAGTTCAACCATTGTGGAAGTCAGTGTGGCGATTCCTCAGGGATCTAGAACTAGAAATACCATTTGACCCAGCCATCCCACTACTGGGTATATACACAAAGGACTATAAATCATGCTGCTATAAAGACACATGCACACATATGTTTATTGCAGCACTATTCACAATAGCAAAGACTTGGAACCACCCCAAATGTCCATCAATGATAGACTGGATTAAGAAAATGTGGCACATATACACCATGGAATACTATGCAGCCATAAAAAATGATGAGTTCATGTCCTTTGTAGGGACATGGGTGAAATTGGAAACCATCATTCTCAGTAAACTATCGCAAGAACAAAAAACCAAACACCGCATATTCTCACTCATAGGTGGGAATTGAACAATGAGATCACACGGACACAGGAAGGGGAACATCACACTCTGGGGACTGTTGTGGGGTGGGGGGAGGGGGGAGGGACAGCATTGGGAGATATACCTAATGCTAGATGACGAGTTAGTGGGCGCAGCACACCAGCATGGCACATGTATACGTATGTAACTAACCTGCACAATGTGCACATGTACCCTAAAACTTAAAGTATAATAATAAATAAATAAATAAAAATAATCAAAGTGAAAACAAAAATAAAAAAAAAAAAGAAAAAAAAAAGAAAAAACCTCCAGAAAACTAAAAAGAAAATTTAGCATTTGAAAAATTTGTATTACAAGGATAGATTATGGGCAATTGCACTGAGATGATAGTTCATAGGAGCTGGCTGATTTTCACAACATTAACAATATTTTGAACCCTAGCATCACAATGAGCAGCTGATTTGTTTTCTTTCAGGACATGGCTTTTCTCAGACAGAATGTTCACCTTCACTTCCTGCATGGTGCTGGCTCTTTTTGAAATGCTTCTATGATTTGATATACACAGACATGAAGATTTTCTATTACATTTTCCCATCTTCTGTGCCATGCTTCTGTGTTGTTTTGCATACACAGAAATCTATTCCACATGCACTTATATAAGACCACAAATTTGGCAGACACAATACTGGTGATCAAACAGCAACACCATTGCTTAAGTGTCTTTTTATCCTACCATTCATATAATTATTTATGCATCAGTCAGCAACCTCACGAGCTTCTTCAGGCAGCTTCAATTCATTAGAAGCTCCTGGAATATCATCAGCTGAAGGAAATGCCAACGCAGGCAATGACGCATTTTTAAACTGAAGTTCTCATTGTTGCTGTAACATGTGGCCAATCCTCTCATCTGAATTTTCTGCCAAATGCATTGGCTGAATGGAAAAAAAACAAACTTTATTGGTAACACCTTGAAATTCACTTTTAAAGCCTTGATTGCACCTAGTTCTAAATGTGTCATTATAGCTTGGGGATTCAAGTGAAATTCATTTTCTTCTGCAAAAAGACAGTAACAAGGTAATTGTTCTGCCTAACAATGCAACTATCCTGTGATTGTGATTTTCAGGATTTTAGATGTTAGCAATTTTAGACTTTAGGAATATTGATCTTTAGGAAATTTGATCTTTTGGGATCTTATGGCACTCAGAATTCTGTCTTTCAGGATTATGACCCAAACCTGAACAAATCTGTCCCTTTGAATATAGATGTATCTGTGTTTCTGCCTTAAGCAATATTCATCCCTCTTTCAAGAAAGTCTTCTCATTGTTTCAGCACCCAGCCAAATCCCACCCTTTACTTAAGGAGCAATTCAAGTCTTACCCAAACTCTCCTCAGGTCTTTCTATCCTGTGAGTAAAAATGGAGTTCATATTTTTGCATAGCATATTATTCTATAACTTAGTGACTTTTAAAAAAACTATTAATCACACTTATTAGTATTTCTCTTTGTTTCTTGTATTAGGAATTTGGAAGAGGGTTGTCTGAGCAGTTCTGGCTCAATATCTCATGAGGCTGCAGTCAGATATGGGTCAGGACACAGTCATCTGAAGACCTGACTATGTGTGAAAGATATGCTTACTCACATGGATGGCAAATGTGGGCTTTTGGTGGGAGGTCTCAGTTACCCTCCCTGTGGGCCTTTCCATACAGCTGCTTGGTTTTCCTTAAGGCATGAAGTTTAGTTTCTCCCACAATAAAAAAAAACCAGGTGGAAGCTGCAATGCCTTTTATGTCCTAACCTCAGATATTATACACCATCGCTTCCACAGTATTCTACTGGTCACATGGGTCAGCACTAATTAATGTATATGGGCTCTACCCAAGGACGTGAATATCAGAAGCCAAGGACTGCTGGGAGGCCTTTGGGAGGCCAGATACCACAGTTTTAATTGTAATAAATGGACTCTTTAGGGCCTGCTTCTACCCACTATTTGAAATACCTGGAGTCCCTCAAAGTTTCCCTTTATTATTTCTAAAAGTATCTCATATGGATTGAAGCACAGAGCTCTCTCAGATACCACGCAATCACTGCCATTTTTTTCTCTCTTTTGGCTTCAGGCTTATAAAATCCCATGAAGGCCCCTTTCTTCAATATCTGGCACAAATCCTGATCATTGTGACTGAACACGCACTATGCACATGCCCCACTGGGCCAAATCCTCTCTGCTGTGCCAAACATGATGCGGTGCCCAAAGCTGTGAACCTTGGGCGGCCTCCCGTATGCTTGATGCCATCAGGTGGCAGGCACTCTCTGTTGTCTGTTCTCTGCACATGTAGGGGAGAATGAATCCCAGGGAGTCAGCCCACATGGCACAGTACATTATATGGTTATGGAGCTCCCAGTGATTTCAGACCTTTTGATAAGAGAGCCCTTTCATGTGTTACCTCAGTTTTCCTAGCACTTGACCTAAGTCGTTTCAGGCTGAAGGATGAGCTGAGTGATAGGCATTATTCTATATTAAAAACAGCTCTTCACTTCCAGTATCTATCATGTTATTGGGCATAGCTATGTGCCAAATTTCTTTCTCCCCTGTAATAGTTATTTCCCAAGAGGTTTGCTTTCTCATAAAAATCTGTCTCTACGTGTCCTAAAGTGCATTCAATTTAGGTTCAACTGGGACTCCAACTACACTCCTCCTGCTAATATCCTTAAAAGGTCTCTAGTCCCAGAAATGGAAAATCTTTTTTATTGGGATAAACAGAAACTTTTCCTAGGCTTGACTCTGAGGGATGCTGTTACCTACACAATAAATAGCCAAGAGCCACCTGTGTAGAGACTTTCCAGAAGCTCTAATCACAGAAGTAGTGTAATCAACGTTGATTTAACAACTCTTGTGAAAAGTTAATTTAGAATAGCTTTATCCTTTCCCTCACAGTATCACTTAAGGAGGCAAAGAGACTAGTGATATAGTTCATAGGTTTTGAAGAAAAACAGGCTGAAATTAAAAGCCCAGTTTGTCCACATAGCAGCAAAATACACTTGGTAAGTTACTAAGCCTAATTTTCCTCATCTGATATCATATGGTTATCATAAGAATTACCTAAGACTGTTCAAGTCTGTGTTTAAAAGTAAATGATAGGAACATTCACTATTATCATTATCATCCTAATAATTACTGATACTATCCCATAACAAGGCTTCTCTACATTCTGTAAAACTCCCTTTTGTAGCTTAGGGGCTAATAGTGGACTAAGGTCCAGCCTGTAGCTGATTTTCCAGGCCATACCATCAACAGTACCCTCTTTGTCCCCAGAGTCAAATTTTAATTTTGGATCTTCGGGGCACAAGCAAGTGGGAGATTGAATCTCAACTTACCTCCAGTCTTTATTATGGGAACTGGAATAGACAAAACTCTATTGTTAATATCAAATTTGAAATCAATTTGAAGCAATTTGAAAGGCAAGATCATGGAGTTTCTGACTACATTCCCTGCTCTGCACTTCCTTCTTGGTGGTTGTCTTCCTCCCCCTGCCTTTCCTCAGAATTCATCAATCAAAATCTCCCTGGAACTAGGCTTCTCAAAGTACAGTCCCTACAGTACTTGTCACTTCAAGAAGGAAAGCATAATAGTTGAAATTATGATTCCCAGGCCCCACCTCTTTCTCTCTCTCTCTCTATATATATATATACACACACACATAAAACACACGTGTGTGTGTATATATATAACACGCACATAAATATATATATTTTATATATATATATATACATTGTGTGTGTGTGTGTGTGTGTGTGTGTGTGTGTGTTTCTTTCTCAACACACTTCTAAGGTGACTGATGTGCAGGGAGCTTGGATCCAAACTTTGAGTAGCACCACCCTACTGCACAAAAAGTTTGGGAGCTATGGAATCAAACCATCATTAATTAAACCTCATGTTTAAAAGACCAGAAAAGCTAGGCTTGACATGGCTTACCAAGTAAAACTGGACTTTTAAGTTACTAAAATTTTGCTTTTGCTGTGGTCGTGTGCCACAAGAAAAAATGGTATTAATGAAACAGTAATGAAATGGTTGGTTGTTCCAACTCACAGTTCTATATGTTTATTACACACAATATTAGGGAAGAACTTAATGATCGGCCACTAGTTTGGGTCACCTCAAAGATACTTCTAGGATAGTGCCTTGAAATGCTGGATAACTTGGTAGCTGTTCCAATGATTAGTGCTTCCCCATCTTGGGTTTTGCCCATCTTTTTTGCTATAAATGACTTTCTATTTCTCCTCCTCTATCAATTTGTATTAAGTATGGGAATCATACTTTCTTTCCTGTTATCCTAGCCACCATTAAAATATTTTACTATAGCAACCATTTGCTTAGAGTGAACCTCATCTCACCTACTATTTCTATTACTTTCAATAAAAAAGCTTTTTTTCCACAATTACAAGCACAAATGTCCTACAGTCTGATATACCTTTAAAAATGGAATCCATATGGTCGTGGGGCTTTTTCCTTGGTTTAAAACACCTATGTACCCATCACCAAGCATTCCCCCACAATTGTAAGACATTCTTTGCCTTGATAGAGCAGATGTTATTCCCTATGGATCCTGTAGGCTTCAATCAACACACTTTTCTCTCTATTTTCCATCCCTACCTCCTTTTACATAATGCCTTGGTGGAAAGTTCCAGCTAGGGTCAAAACGTTCTTTGCCTAATGCTGGCAGGGACCCTCTGGTCTCCAGGGAAGACCGTCACTTTTCCCTTGGAAACTAAACAGTCTTTTCTACTAGCTGCAACAATATTTCTAACCCAGTTTTCTATTGCTATGCACAGGCTTGGGGATATATAAATAATCTCTGGCAGTACACATTTTCTCTATGCTCATGCTATTATCTGTTTAATACAAGGCAGTTAGTTCTAATCTTTGGGTAGCAATTAGTCCATGCTATAAATAGATGCCATACTAGAGTTACTAATTACCCAGAGAAACCCAAGGAATATAATTTCTGTTTCACAGAGCACACCAGCCTGAGGATTAAGAAAAATCATAATGGCAGTATATTATTTCTCTAATTTGGCTCTGTTTCATGACTGTGGAATTTGCAGGCTTCCTTTTCCTTGGTGCCCATACACAGAAACTTCTGAGCTCTCACATTGCCTCTGCCAGTCCCTCCTTCCCTACTTTGGCTCTGACACACTGTGGTGGCCCAGATGGCTTCTGTCTGTGAAACCCCTTCCAGGCCCCTCTCCATAGGCAGGGAAGGTAGTGCCATTTCACACTTATGCCCTCTGCAGTCCAAGGTACTCCAAGGGAAGCCCCTCTTCCTCATGATAAAGTTACACCCTGGGAGCACAAAGCACAGCTGCTTTGTGGTCAGTATATCATCTCCCAGAAATTTTGGAATACTTGTCTTTTCTAGAAAACTTTATTTCATTTTTCCCAAAGCAGCTTTCTCCACATTCCTGTTTGTCCAGGCCAAGCAGTCCATTTAAGTAAAGCATCAAGCTGTGTTCACTCTTTTCTAACACTAGGACTTGACTAATGTAACAAATCTTTTTAGGAAGAGTTTATTCCCAGGATGCTTTTAAGTGCCCCATGCAAATGTATTCTCAGCATGTCCACTTTGTCAGTGTCATAGGAATACACAGGTCCAACTTTTAGGGTGAACAGAGTTTTGCCTTATGCTCAGCTCTCCCCTTCCTCCACCTCTGCCTTTGCAGAGTAGTCAAAATCCAACATTTGGTTGAAGGTACAGTCTTGAGTAAGTTACTAATTTTTTATGAGACTTTAAGATGCTCAAGGCTGGTGTATTAGTTATCTATTGCTGCCTCACAAATTACCTCAAAATGTCATGACTGCAAACAACAAGCATTTGTTATCTCACAGGCTCTGTGAGTCAGGCACCTGTGAGCAGCTTAGCTAGCTGGGTCTGTCTCAGAGCCTCTCATGAGGCTGCAATCAAGGTGTTGGCCAGGGATGCAGTTATCTCCAAAGTCAATTCAGAGACTTTTTTAAAAAACATTTACAGTGTTATGCCAAATTAGATATTGATTACATATATCATAAAATTAATAAATTAAGCAAATTTTTCTACTTCATAATTCATGTCAAATTTAATAGTCTCTTCACTGATTCTTTGTACTGAGAAAGGGTATTTTCATTTTCCCCTTCATTCTTAAGACTAACAAAGGACATTCTGTAATCTTCGTTTCTTTGGTACCAAGAAGCTCTTATTTATTCCTTATATTTCTCAGCAGCTTTAATTTGGATAAATGTTTTCAGGAATTTTTTTTTTCTAATTGCTTCCAACCTCATGCTCAGGTCATTGCTGACTCTAGACTGAAAACACCAGATTCTCCTCAAATGAGTCTCCCCATAAGAGTTGCTCACAACATGGTAACTGGCTTCCCTCAGAGTAAGGGCTCAAAAAAACAGAGGCAGATAGAGAAAGAAAGAGAGACAGATACAGACAGATGGAGAGAGAGAGAGAGAGACAGAAACAGAGAGACACACAGAGAGAAAGAAAGAGAAGGAAGGAGATGCTCAGAATTCCTATGCCTGGTTACACGGATTTTGTGTATGTGATTTTTTTCCATTGTAATTTGACAATATTTCAGGATAGAGTCATTTTATAGTGTTTATTAGGAAATTCTAATGAGCATTGGGCTCAAGGAGAACTCTTTAGAAATGGCATGTGACAACTATGTGAATATTAATTCATTGAATTCATTGCCATTACACTGAACACAAAATAATAAATATATCCAAAGTAATTGGCTGTTTAAAATCACATTTGCAAAACAGCCTGTGGTTAAACTGCTTGTTAACTTGGCAGTGGCAAAATAGGACAATTTTATACTGAAGTGGTTTTTATAAAAGGTCTCTGCCAGAACTAAGGATTTTCCTGGAAATGATTTGTAAAAGGCTTTGCATAAAGACATACTGCAAATAAGGCCACGAACTTCATATTTCTACACTCATTCTTTATTGTTGTAAGCTGAATAATACCCACACCTCCCCAACCCCAGAGATGTCACATTGTAATCCTTGGGATCTGTGGCCTTATATGGAATACCTACAATGAATAGGTGGCCTTACATGGTAAAAGAGGCTGTAGACATGATCAAATTAAGGGTCTTCAGATGGGGAAATTATTCTGGATTATCTGAATAGGCCCAGTGTAATCACGAGGGTCTTTATAAGAGAGAGAGGTGTGGCCAGGCGCGGTGGCTTATGCCTGTAATCCCAGCACTTTGGGAGGCCAAGTCGGGCAGATCATGAGGTCAGGAGTTCGAGACCACCCTGACCAACATGATGAAACCCCATCTGTACTAAAAATACAAAAATTAGCTGGGCATGGTGGCATGCACCTGTAATCCCAGCTATTTGGGAGGCTGAGGCAGGAGAATAACTTGAACCCGGGAGGCGGAGGTTGCAGTGAACTGAGATCGTGCCACTGCACTCCAGCCTGGGCGACAGAGTAAGACTCCATCTCAAAAAAAAAAAAAAAAACAAGAAGAGAGAGAGAGGTGTCTCAGACTGAGAAAGATGACCAGGTGGTGACACAAGCAGAGGGACAGAGAGAAAGAGATTTGGAGATGATTTACTGCTGACTTTGAAGATGGAGGAAAGGAGCCACAGCCAGGAAATACTATGGCCTCCAGAAGCTAGAGAAGGCAAGCAGATGGATTCTCCCCTAGAGCCTCTAGAAGGAACCAGCCTTGCTGACACCCTGACTTTAGTCTAATGGGACTGATTTTGAACTTCTGGCCTCCAAAATGGTAAGAGACTAAATTCATGTTGTTTTAAGCCCCCAGGTAATTTGTAGTAACTCATTACAGCAGTAATAGGAAACTAATACAGTTATAAAAGAAATAGTGATGAGTCTGTCAGCATTTTTAGAAGTATTCCATGATCGGTTAAATGTCTTGAAGCTTTTTTACCAAACAAGTAGCCAACCCAGTTCTCCAAATACAGAGAGAGGCATCATTTCCACATGATGAAAGAGCTAGACTAAGAGGACGTCCCTCCCCAAGAAGACCTCTCCCTCTTCCAGGTGGAGCTGGGGCTGGGAGCAGAGCCTGAGCATCACCTGGGATACAGATCCTCTACCAAGGGACACAGAAGGGGAGAAACCCTGGCAGCAACTGTTCCCTGGGATCCCCAGTGGGCAGAGCCCAGGGACTGCAAGCATTATCATCTCCATAGCAACCCATGGATTTTTTTTTTTTTTTTGGAATATTATACGGTGGCTCTATTCCTGCAGAAAATTGGGATTATTCACCCATTTCTACAAAGAGGTATAAATTAAGAAATATGAAACATATCCATGTCTCCCATGGCCCAAGTTATGCACTCCAATCCTTCCCTGAACTTTTCATTACATGCTGAATTGACCATGTAATGAAATTTCAAACAAGGTTCTTAGAGCTCATGTTAGAGAGAGTTACTTTTAAGACAAAAGTAATTATTTTACAAAATATATATACCTCTCCCACAAATATTCCATATAATTTCAGAATCAAAACTAATTAATGAGACAAAGCTTTAACATATTTCTAGCCACTGTGGCTTTGTTTTATGTAGAAGACATTTTACTATAGCATTTACAGAACCACTTGTGCATGGGAGATGAATAGTTGGCAGACCTCCTTCTTAAAGAAAAAGAAGTCTTCAAGGGGACTTTGTAAAAATCTCAGAAATGAAAGTGTATGATAGCGCATTGGGGGAATGCCACTAACTGCTGGGGAGTGATGCTGGTAGGCAGAGGGCATTTTCAGTTCATAATTGGGTTTCAATGGCGTGGCTTGGGAGGCTTAACTGAGGAAAAGACTCAGGGATCAATAGGCAAAAAAAAAAAAAAAAAAAAAGTCTAAACGCTAAAAGTAGTGATGTGTACACTGCCTCCAGCTGCCTACCCCTTCTTCTAGCTGACCCCAGAGAGAGGCTCACTGGCAGGGAGGGCTGCTGTGCCTATTCTGTGGCAGGGCAGGAACTCCAAGTGAACACTCCCAGCATGAACACTACTATGTAAACTAAAAAAGATTTCTGTAATTTAATGCTAACAAGAATCTGGCAGAGCCTTGTCCTAAATCCCATGGCACTCTATTCCTTAGTCTTCAAGGGTAAGGAGAAGCCCCTGGTGACTCCACAACCTCCCATGATCAACCATATTAAGCTCAAGTCTCTGCCAACAGCACCTACCTACAGAAGGACCTGTCCCTATATAAGTGCCCTCATGAGGCTGGACTCAGGGGGCCATAATGCCTGTCCACCAAGAGTTTTCCACATTTTCCCTGGTCCTCAATGTCTCCATACTGGACATCCATGATATCATCCTCACCTGAAGGATCCACAAGCTAAACTTCTTTGAGCATTGCTGTCAACACTGCCTGCAACTCTGGAGGAATGCCATCACCAGTTCTTCTCTTCTTTGACCAACCCACTGCAGGGCAGATGCGCTGCCTCCCAGAGGGTATGTTCACATACTCCCCCTGAATCTGGAGAGTAATCACATGATAGACCTAATAGTGATACAGACTTTTTTGGGTTTTGGGTTTTTTTTTTTTTTAACCAGATTCAAGGACCTCTGAAGACACATAGCTGTACCCTCTGCAGGCACAACTGGAAAGGGGTCTCAGGCCCTCTGTCGCTTCAGCTCTTCAAAACCTAGAGAGCTTCATCTATGCAAAATAGCCACAGCCCAATGAGATAACCAAGGGAGAGTCCCCATGTTCCCCATGAGTCCCAGCACCTGAGCCTACTGAGCCCGGGGATACATAAAACACCTATATTGAATAAAACAGTTCAGACTTGCAAAACCATCAAAATAAAGAAGACACTCATGGATTTTTCCCACATAGTTTGAGTAGATTTTCATATACTTTTCATGCAACCTCTAGGTAACTTTAATTGAATGAAATACTATCTTACCTCCTGGTCCATGGCCACATCTAAAACTTAAATGACATTTTAACAGAGTGGATTGATTTCACCTCCCTCAAATCTCTTGTTCAGGCCACTCACTCACTCAAGCTGTACTGAGACATGTATATTCAGGACTATGAAAATCGAATTTCTGCCTTGCAGTGTTAGCGTAGAGATTTACATGCTTGTGGACAAGTTACTAACAGTTCTGAATGCTAAAAACACCAAACAACCAAGGATGTCCAGTGGTTCTTGGATTTGCATTAAGTGACCACCTTAAGTGCTCAATTTATCATGTAGCTCACAGGTTCTTCTGAAAGGGAAGAGATTTATTATATATTTACTCAAAGACAAAATATTTGAGTAATTGGAAACCCTGTCTGCCTCACCCTGATTTTATTCTACTCTGATCCAATCCAGGACACACAAGATGAAACTGTTTGCCCCAACATCAGAGTGGAGGCCATCCTATCTCCTCACTGGTGGAGGTAAACATTGGGCCTGCATCTTCAAGATATTGGCCTCAGACCTGGACAACTGCCTTATGAGAAAGAAAGAGATTCTGGTCATTAGAGCTGCATTGAGACATGAAAGTCAGATGGTCTTTCATGGTGGCACAATCTTATCACTGCAGCCTTGAGTACTGAGGCAAGGGCAGACACACTGAGTCCCCTGCTGGGTAAGATGGGAATAATTTTTAAATACTTCTACTCTCAAATTATTTATGCATCAGAATGCATAAACCATCATGGAAAAGCAAAGTTTCACAAGAGACAAAACAGAGTGGAAGAGGTTGCCCTACAGTCCCCATTTTCTCAATATAATATCCATGGAATATTGTGGCTGCTTGCCATCCTGGCCAAGGACAGAGGTGAAAGCACAAGGGCTAATAAAACTTCTTGCTGTCACTGGTTGTTCCCAGGTGGTATGGTTTAGCTGTGTCCCCACCCAAATCTCATCTTGAATTGTAGCTCCCATGATTCCAACATGTTGTGGGAGGGACTTGATGGGAGGTAATTGAATCATGGGGTGGGGGTCTTTCCCATGCTGTTCCTGTGATAGTGAATAAGTCTCATGGGATCTAATGGTTTTATAAAGGGGAGTTTCCATGCACAAGCTCTCTCTTGCCTGCTGCCATGTAAGACACATGCCTTTCACCTTCCACCATGACTGTGAGACCTCCCCAGTCATGTGGAACTGTAGTCCATTAAACCTCTTTTTTTTTCTTTATAAATTACCCAGTCTCAGGTATGTGTTTATTAGCAGCGTGAGAACAGACTAATACAACAGGATTTGTGTGGAGGATTTGCCTCTCCTCCATGACTTGCTGCCATCTGGGTGGTGGTTGGCCATTCACCAACATGCTGCCCCTTATCCCACACCTTGCCTCCTTCTGATCTAGCCACCACTACACTGTTCACCAAGGAAGTCTCCTTCTTCTGTGTGCCATCCAGACACCTGGGCTATTGCTATGACTCCCAGTTTAAAAACTACTATAAAGAGCATTGTTTGAATTATTTAGCTTTTGTATTCTTCTGGTCTGCTAATGTTTAGATACAAATCTACAGCCAGATGCAGAAAGTTAACCCAAACACGTGGCAGAAAGAGCATCCACTCAAACTAACCCCATGGTCAGAAAAAAAAAAGTAAACTATGTGGCTAGAAAAGCAATTATTGCAGGACTGGCTACATCATTTATGGGTCCAGTGTAAACTAACAATGCAGGGGCCCTGGTTCAAAAACTATAAGAATGTCAAGGTGGTGACAGCAGAGCATTAAACCGAACATGGGGTCCTTCTAAGCACGGGGCCCTGTGCAACTACACAGGCTGCACACACAGGAAGCAGCCCTGATTATGCGAAATCATTTCCCACTTCCCAAATTAGGAGTTTTCACCAAGAATCCACCAGAACATGAGAGGCCTTTCTTCTCAAAAATCCACAAGAAGCCTTGGCACACTCCAACTGGAGAAGAGAGCCCATACATAATGGAACCAGCGTCTGTTATTCTGCTGAGCCTGACCCAATGTGGCTACACCTAGGCTGTTACATTTTTTAAAAGATCCTGATCTGGGAGGAAGTTCTAGACACCTCCCTTCTATTCTCACCTTGCTTGTGCTTGTTCTAGTCTTTGTAGTTTCTGCCTTCCTGGCTCCATAACTCAGCTTTGATATCTGATTCTGGTGCCTCAAGCTTGGTAATCATCCAGATGACCCCTTCTGACTTCTCAGACTCTAGTTTCAGCTCTGGCTGGTTTCAGCTTTCCTGGCTCCTCAGGTTTTGATATCCCACATCTCACATGAGACACCCTCTCTTTCTGTTTCCTCCCTAGTTCATTGTAATCTCACTGACCAGACTAGCCTTCTTTCCCCTATTACACAGGGAAGGCAAAAACTATAATCAGAAGGTGGCATATGCAACCATGACCTAGTAGTTACTTTCTTTAAAAATAGTCACTTAAAAACCTTTACATGAATCAGGGAGTACATTGGTATTCTCTGAGCTCTCTTCTCCTTTCTATGGCCTTTTCCCTAAGTGTCACATACTTTCTATAAATTAATGACCCACATCTCTGACTTCACCCCAAATTTCAAACCCCTACATGAGTTCTTAATGACTATTTTTTAAGAAAGTAACTATTAGGTCATGGTTACATATGCTACCTTCTGATTGTAGTTTCTTTCTTTACTTGCCTGTTAACCTCCTTCTTGAAATGCTGTCTTTTAACTTTACCATCGTACTTTCCTCTTCTTCCTCATACCCCGTTGAAGCGCCTTCTCTTTTTTCTTTTCTAACTAGTCTTCCTCCTTCTACTTTGCTTCCTCCATCTCTAGTACCACAACTACCATGTTCTTACTTTACTTTGCTGTAAATGTTGACATGGCACAACGTCCATTCCTGAGCTCTCTTCTCTTTTGTATGACCTTTTCCCTAAGTGTCACCACATACTTTCTACAAATTAATGACCTCCATCTCTGGTTTCATCTCATATTTCAGGCTCGCATATTTTACTGCTTTTCTGTATTCACGTATTTTGCTTATCAAACTGGCACATATTGAGGTACTCCCTGATTCTAAAAAGACTGTTATTCCCTCAGTCTTTCCCATCTTGGTAAGAGTAAACGTCAAATGTATTAAGCTAAAAACCAAGCAGGCATCAGTTATTTTGCTCTCTTCTTCACTCATTTATTCCTATTAGTAAGGGCTACTGTAGAGTACTACTGAATATATCTTCTGTCAATAGCTTCTCTCCAAAGCCTCTGCTATCTCCCTTATCTGAACCATTATAAAAGAATAAACCTTATTCTTATAAGGTTATTAACTCCGAGGAGTCGAAGTTCTCCTGGCTTTAAGTCTGCTGTTGGAATCATGTAAGAATAGAAGCCTAAATCTTCAGAGTCTGTATGTTTATAGCTTCAATATCATTGGTGGCCAATTGCTTTGATCGTAAGAGAAGTGTTGTTAACCTCGTCTCTTATGTACAGAATACGTAGGGATGGGAGGGCAATTAAAATTAAGATAATGGTGGGTAAAATAGTTCACACAGTCTCAATTTCTTGGGCATGTATGGCGCTAATATGAGTTAAGTTTGTTCTGAGTATTAGGGAAATAGTGTATAGGACTAGGGAACTAATTAGGAAAATAATTATAAGAGCGTGATCATGGAAAGTGAGTAGTTCTTCTATAATAGGGGATATAGCATCTTGAAGGCCTAATTGAACTGGATGAGCCATTAAGACATATAGGGTTTAACCTATAAATTAACTTTGACAAAGTTATGTAATAATCTTACTAATATCTTATCAAGAGAGTCATAGAGGTTATGGGATTGGCTTGAAACCAGTTTCTGGGGGTTCGAGTCTTTCCTTTCTCATTTAGGTTTTCACATAGGCTGGCTCTTCGAATGTATGGTAAAGTGGTGGACAGCCGTAAAGCCACTCTAAATTAGTAGATGGTTGTTCAATTGTCAGTACTTTTCATTTTGAAGCAAAGCCTTCTCAGATCGTAAAGATTATTAGCATAACTGCTGTTAGTGAGATAAATGGGCCTATGGATGAGATAATATTTCAAGTGGTGTAGGCATCGGGATAATCAGAGTAACATCGAGGCATACTGGATAGGCAAAGGAAGTGCTGCAAAAAAAAAAGGTTAAATTAACACCGACGAATATAATGGTGAAGTGGATTTTCGCGTAGGTCTGATTAAGTGTATAACCTGAAAATAGGGGGAATCAGTGGACACAGCCTCCTATAATGGCGCATACCACTCCTATTGATAGAACATAGTGGAAATGGGCTACAACATAGTATATGTCGTGTAAGACAATATCTAGTGATGAATTAGCTAATACGATGCCGCTTAAACCTCCTACTGTGAAAGGAAAATGAATCCTAGGGCTCAGAATATTGCGGAAGATCATTTGATGCTACCGCCGTGCAGGGTAGCTAATCAGCTAAAGACCTTGACGCCAGTAGGGATAGCAATAATTATGGTAGCAGAGGTGAAGTATGCTTGTGTGTCTACGTCTATTCCTACTGTAAATATATGGTGAGCCCATACGATAAATCCTAAGAAGCCAATTGATATCATGGCTCATATTAAGCCCATGTATCCAAATTGTTCCTTTTTTCCAGAATAATATGTTACAATGTGGGAGATTATCCCGGAGCCTGGTAGGATAAGTACATAGACTTCAGGGTGACCAAAAAATCAGAATAAATGTTGGTACAAAATAGGGTCACCCTCTCCAGCAGGGTCAAAAAAAGTAGTGTTGAGGTTACTGTCAGTTAGTAGTGTAGTAATAGTGTAGAAATGCCGGCAGCTAGGACTGGGAGGGAAAGGAGTAGAAGGACTACCGTAATGAGGATTGATCAAACGAAAAGGGGTGTTTGATACTGGGATATAGCTGGGGGTTTTATGTTAATAATTGTCGTAATAAAGTTAATGGCCCTTAAAATAGAAGAGACACCTGCCAAGTGGAGCGAGATGATGATCAGGTCCACAGAGGCTCCTGCATGTGATGGGTTTCCTGCTAAAGAGGGATAAACTGTCCAGCGGGTTCCAGCACCAGCTTCTACTATTGAAGACGCAAGTAGGAGTAGAAAAGATGGGAAGAGAAGTCAGAAGCTCATATTATTTATCCGGGGGAATGCCATATCGGGTGCACCAATTATCAGAGGGACTAGCCAGTTGCCAAAACCTTCAATTATGATTGGTATCACCATAAAGATTATAACGAATGAGTGGACAGTAACAATGACATTATAGATCTGATCATCTCCTAGCAGAGTTCCTGGTTGGCCTAGTTCTGCTCGGATTAGAAGGCTTATAGCAGTGCCAACTATCCCCATCCATGCGCCGAATAGCAGGTATGGTGTTCCAATATCTTTGTGGTTAGTTGAAAACAATAAACGATTGATGAAGGTAGGTGGTGGGGGGGGGGTTATCATATAAAAGAATAAGGTTTATAGGTTTATAAAGAATAGGCTTATAAACCTATTCTTTATAAACCTATTCTTTATTATAAAGAATCACTTGAATGATATCACTTGAATTATATCACAAGTGGTATCACTTGATTTCTGTGTAAAATAATTCTTAAAATGTCCAGGCATGACCCTTTCTCCAGTGTGAAGGCACTCAAGTGATCATGGGCCCTTTTGAAGTTGAACTGGGAGAGTCAAAAATAGGTTTATAAACCTATTCTTATAAAAAAGTAAATCAATTCTTTCCAGAATTGCAGCAATAGCCTTCTAAATGGTCTCCCATCTTAAGTTTTTCCACTAAATCCACTCTTCAAATAGGACCAGAGTTAGCTATTTAAAAAACATAAATCAGAAAATGTAATTTCTCACTTAGAACTCTCCAGTGTCTTCTCATTGAATTTAAAATAAAATTCAAATGCTTTACAATTCTCACACTTTCCTCTCCCACTTCAAGTCCCACCACTCTCTCTTTAAGTCAATTTGTTTGACAACACTGCACTTCACTCTTTTCTCAATCACACCACAGAGACTTTGAATTTGCTTTGTCCCATTATTGGAATATTTTTCCCAGATCTTCACATAGTTGAAACCTTCTCAATTATTACTGAACGTGGAGAAGTATTTGTGGCAATGCTATCAAATGTGGCCTGTCCTACCATCTGATTTCTCTATCTCATCCCCCCACCACTGCCGCCTTTTATTTGTTATTATTTTTTCTTGCTTATTTGCGTGTACATTTTTTGCTTTCTCTATTTCTTTTTCTTTTTTCTGTTCTTTCTCTTTTCCTTCTTTTTATGTGCACTTATTTATTGTTTCTTTGTTTATCAAGGCAGAAATCTTTCTTTGATTGTCTGTTTTGTCCACCAATGTGTCCCTAGAAGAGTTGGCACACAGTATGTATTCAATATATACCTGCTGAATAAATAAGTTCAAAAAATTATGAAGGATACTGTGATTCAACAATATGTGGGACAACAGATCACAACCCATAGGCCAAATGTGGCCACCACCTGTTTTGGTAGTTAAAATTTCATTGGAATACAACTATGTGTATTTGTTGAGAAATTGTTTATAGTGCCTTTTGAACTATGACAGCAGAGCTGTGTAGGTGCAAATAAGACCATATAGCTCACAAAGCTGAAAGGTTTACTATCTGGCCTTTTAAAGGAAAAGTTTTCTAACCTCTGCAATAACACATACCAGGCCAAGTTAACATTCAATTTAAAAGAAACACAAATATTGTCAGGAACTGTTTCTGAAAAGGTATATAATTTTCTGTTGCAGATGACTTTGCCCTGAATCTTACAGGATTTGTGTCCCTTCCTCTGGAGTTCATGTATCTTACCAAGGTCTCCAGGGCGGGCACTAACCATTCCTGCTTATCTAGTGCAGTCTGCATGATGTCATCAATATAATGGATCTATGTGACATTCTGTGAGATGTCAGAGAATCCATATCTCTTTGGAATATATTGTGTCAGAGAGGACAAGCATTGACATAACTCTGGAGCAAATCTGTAAGTGAATATTCGTGTTCATTCTATACAAACTTGAACTTTTTCTAATCCTTCTTTCTAGTTGAAATAAAAAGGAAGGCATTCCCCAAGTCAATGGCTGAATTCCATATACTTAAGTACTTATTAATCTGTTCTAGCAATAATACCACAGTCAGCATGGAAGCTGTAAATGGAATGTGATTTTACTAAGTTTGTGACAGTCTACAACAAGCTGAACAAAGTAAGTCACCAATTTGACTATCAGGCCCCTACATAAAATGGATAAATGCTGGAAAATTAAATGGTGACATAATAAGGACCACCATCCCCTTAACTTTTAGATCTGTAACTGAAGCAGTAATCCCAACCATTTCCTGCAAGGTGTTATAGTATTTTTCAATTGAATATCTTGGTCAGGGGGCTGTGAAGAGCATTTTCAGAGTTTTCCACTTGGCACTGGTATTCACTGTGATAACTCTTACTTCACAGGTCAAAGACTCAGATGGATGTTATCCAACTGCCAAGAATATCATTTCCTATTATACACTCAAAGACCAGGGAAATAATAATTAGGTGCTTCTACCCAGGAACCCAATAGCTTAACTTTTAGCCAGGACTCCATTTATTACTTAGCCCTTGTACTCCCTACTCTCTCAGGGAACAATAATGAGCTTTGAGTCCCGTAGTATGAATATCAACTTGGATTCTCTGTAAAATCATTCTAAAAATGTCTAGGCGTGACCCTTTCTCCAGTGCGAAAGCACTCAAGTGATCATGGGCTCTTTTGAGGTTGAACTGGGAGTCATTGCAGTACATACTGGCAGCTCTTTCCTCTAGAAAATCTGGCTACTTCTTCTGTCAGTAGTTGCTGTATTTGAAAATTAGCTCAGATCTGGAAACTGAGCAAGGAATTATGATTGCTCATTGAAGTGACTCCCTGCAGCCTCCTGCTCTTCCATTCTTACCATGTTCTGGTTCTAGATATTAAGCAACACCCTTGTTGGCTGCCCATCTATTTTTCCTCTGTAGCCATCCTCTATTAACTAGCTCCCTGAATCTTGACTGCCCCTCTGAACTTTCGGATTGTTATAGTTATTGTAACCTCCTGGTTTCTGATTTTAAATGGTACCCCCTGGTGTTTATTATTTTGGTGCCTCATCATCCACATGGTTATTAAAGAGCCCAGGTCTGTGGGCCCCTCACCTGCTATCAGCCCTAACCTAAAGAGAAGATACACTCCTGAATTTCTCAGTGATGCTAAAGACCCTCTCACCAGAACATTCCTCATGGCCTTAGTGATAGAAGATAATCATCTGGTGGGCCTTCTGGCCTTGCACAATATATCCATTCCAGTATGTCCGCATGCCTGAAACATTTTATTCTATTTCTACAACATAGCAAGGAAATTAACGAATTTCTACTTTACTCAGCATGGCCCTTTGATTTTCCATACATTGAGTGGCCACCTCAGCAGTAAGTTTTCCTCATTCCCTTCAGTCCTTGCAAGGTACTAAATCACATCTCCTGAGAAAGTACCACCAAGTAAATGAATTTTCAAATATCCTGCCTTATATTCTTCTCCCCTTGATCAAAAAAACCTCTAATCTAATCTAAAATTATCTTTGACCATGCAGAGAGGAAAGGCCATGTGAGGACACAGCAAAAAAGTGGTTGATCATCTGCAGGCCAAGAAGAGAGCTCTCATCAGACAACAATTCCACTGGCACCCTGATCTTGAACTTCCAGTCATTAGAATTTGAGAAAAAAATTTCTGTTGTTTAAGTCATGCAGCCTGTGGCATTCTATTATGACAGACTTGGTTGACTAATACATGACTCCAGGCTGGTCTTTCTACAGATGAGGAGGGGATTTTTATAAGCTACCAAAGTATTTAACTGTTAATCACCCTCAGTGTCAATACAAGTAGTAGTAACTAGGCAACTCCACAGTCCTTAAAAAGGAGTTGTTCTCCACATATCTCATAAATGCCTGAAACATTGCACCAGCAAAATCATTTCTCTATACCAGGACATTTTCCCAGGGCCCTTCAGGAATTAGGCCATTATTTTGGGATGGGGATTATCCATGCTGCACTTTCCCCTTAAAACAAGCTCATCTTTGTTAGTCAGGTAGAGAGTGACTCATTCTCAAAACTCATCTTATTTTCTAAATAAATCAATCCTAGCTCCATTTCTGTCAGTTCAGGTCCTCCAGTAAGGAAAAATCAAAATACAATTAGACAGTCAAGAGATTTATTGCGGTGGCTCTGTGAAAGATAAAAGTGGGAGTAAGAGTGACAAGAAGAGCCTTTAAACCACCCTATAGGTCTGACACTTGTGAAAGAAGAGAGGGAAGAAAAAATGAGTTAGAAGCAATCTCTGAAAACTGCAGTTCCAAGAACATCTTGGCCAGGCCAGGTCAATGGTGGACTTTAAGAACCAGTTGCTCTTGGAGAAATCTCACTTTGAGCATTAATGGTCTGGTTCTTGCATTCCCACTAAGCTCAATCATTGACTTACATCAGCTTGAGGTATTGACTCAAATGTGTAACAGCTGGGGCTATAAATCAACTATGGTCCCCTCAGCAGGTCCACTTGACAGAGATTTGAATGGCCTACTTCCACGGCCAACATAGTGTGAGCATTAATACTCTGACTTAATTAAAGAGTGAAACTCAAATGCTGCTATTTTCTTACTAAACCCATTTCTTTTTCTGCCTCTCCTGAGCACTATATTCCCCCCCCCGCCCCATCCTTAAAGGTGGTGGGGCCATATGACTCCACTTTGGTTGATGGAATAGGTGCCATTTCAATCCCTAGTCCCTTAAATCTCCCACAAGCTATCCTCCACTCTCTTTCCACTTCTGAGGCAAGCATGCAGGTCATGTGTTGAACAGGCACCAAAAGATGAAGGGAGAGGATGAGCTTCCGCATCACTAT
Organism: Homo sapiens; assembly: GCF_000001405.40. NCBI lineage: Eukaryota > Metazoa > Chordata > Mammalia > Primates > Hominidae > Homo > Homo sapiens. Next base: position 98,416,287 of record NC_000005.10, read on the forward strand.
TTTGAAGAGATATGCCAGACTGCCATGGACTATGTGATGTGAGCAAGCAACAAATCTTCACTGAAATAAGATCGATATTTAAGAGCTGTTTATTTCAATAATTAGCCGGCTTTTTTTTAATGTTCTAGGAGATAGCCTACTATTTTGATAGAAACATTGCTAAATAGGCAATTTTTTAAATTGTCTTTTGATTACTTAGCTAGAGCCATCATGTTCAATGTGTGTTGAGAGGCTTGAATGAAAAGAAGATGGAACATAGAAACTAACAGTTATTTATTCTTATCATTATTATCTGTCCTATCTTTTAGAGTGATATTCTGTAAAACACAGCCAACTCTACTAAATAATCAAGTTCTTAATAACCAATGTAATATATACTTTTTAATCTCTTAGACAAATTCTTTGAGATCAACTTGCAAAAATATGACTCACTGGTATTCTTTAAAAATGAGAATGACCACAATGTCTAACATCTAAGTCATTCTTGTTCAGATCATGCCTGAACAAAATTAGCATTTTAAAGCACTTTTCATGTTTTCTCCAAATGATGTATTAATGAAATAAGCCTTTACCTTGTATTTCCACAATAACTTGTGAAAATTGTGTGTAATGTTGCAGGACTGTGTGAACAGTTATAGAAAATCTTTTTAAACTCAGTGAAATAGATACAATCAACTTTATCTCCAAGCTTTTAATATGCAATGGTTGAATCATTTTTACATGATTTGTTAATCTGAGAAGTAAGTGCCAAATCACAAGTGAAGTGATTTGTAATCATCTAAAATCTATTATACTTCACCTACCCAAGAAACTAGAATCTTAATACTTCGCAAGTTGCCAGGATGGCCTGTGTTCAACATATCATAAAAGTACAAAAGTTATTATTTCATTTCATGTTTTAAAAATCCATGGTCTGCCTCGCCTATCACCTTAAAGGCACAAATGTCTGCTAATTGTAGTAATTTTTCAGTGCTTCTACTTTTAGCAATTTCCTCTAATAATTACACCTAGATTGACTAACCAATTACTTTGCTTTATGATTTCTTCATTTTGTCCTGGAACTAATCCCCCATAGATACTGAGGAGCTACTCTACACAAATCTTCACTGCTGCTTTATTTGTAATAATACCAAACTGGAAATAAATACACTTCAATGGGTGAATGGATAGATAAACAAATTGTGGTACATTCATATAATAGAATACTACTCAGCAATAAAAGGAGCAAAGTTTTGATAGATACAATAACTTGGATTGATCTTAATGAGATTATGCTGAGTAAAAAAAAAGCCTATCCCAAATGATTACATACTTTATGATTCTATTTATATAGCTCTCTTGATATGACAAAACTATGGAAGTAGACAAGAGATTAGTGGCCACCAAGGATTAGTGGCCACCAAGGAGAATAGAGTGTAAGTATAAAAGCTAACACAAGGGAGTTTTTGAGGTTGATGAAACCATTCTGTGTCTTGATTGTGGTGGTAGTTACACAAATCTACAAATGTGATAAAATTTTATAATATGCCAAAAATAGCTCCAGTAAAAACTCCTGAAATCCAAATTAAGGTATGTAGTTAATAGTATTAAACCATTGTCAATTTTCTGTATTAGATTATTCTTTTAAAGTTATTAAGACGTTATCATTGGGTAAAGCTGGAAGACTAGAATGAAGGAACTCTCTATATCATTTTTGAAACTTCCATGTGAGTCTAAATTATTTCAAGATAAAAAGTTTAAGAAAAAAATACTAATCTCCAGGACTACTCCCAGAGATTCTAATTCAGCAGGTCTAAAGTGGAGCACGGAGATCTCCCCAAGTGGTTCTCATGAGCAGTCATATTTGAAATCCCCCCATATAATGTACAATGTCCTTAAGAGCATCACTTGGCAGTGAAGATGACAGCAGGTTCTACACAACAATTTTCTACAATGCCTCTTATTGCAAGCTGAAGGAATCATGAAAAAGCACAAGATAACAAATCTATGAGGGCCCAAAACAGCATCCAAGGGGGTTCTGGAACTAATACCCCACAGATACTGTACACAGATGTTCACTGCTGCTTTATCTGTAATAACCCCAAATTGGAAATAACACTGCATCCCAGTATCATGGCTTGATTCCCAGTTAGCTTCTAAACTAAGACTAGATGACTTCAAATATTTCAAGCAGCACTCCATAAGCATCAGTTCTTACCCCTAAATGTTTCACATTGCCAATTAGGGGCAGATGAATACAATCTGATATTATGCCAAGTTGGAAGTAATGGTGACATCCTTTTAAGAATATTACAGAAGATTTCTATTTGAAGAGTAGACCTCCCACCTTCAAATGGAGGTAGGCTAAAGGAAAACCTGAGAAAAGGGTCAAGATTTTACTAGAAAAGCTGCATAGAATTTAAAAAGTAATTGAGCCCTAAGGCATTATCTTTTAATTAAAGTCCAAAATGTGATTTATCTTAATGAATATCACTTGCATTCAGTGAATAAGGTCTACAATGTGGTAAGGAGCTCAACACTTCTGTATTGCTTGCATAACATCAACTTCTATCATATGATAATTCTATTATCATGAAGAAAATGACTATGTCAAAATATTATCTCTCAATTGTTTTAAGTATTACCATTAATATAAAAATTAGATGGGTAATATTGGTAATAAACACTTGAAACTTTATGTAAGCATATACATTATAAGAAGGAAATTATTCATTTAATAGATACATGTTTTAATATCTCTACTATATGGAAGTTATTATACTAGATACTGACATTGAAACATATAATATATTGTTTCTTTCCTCAAGAAGCCAGTGTCTATTGGAGTAAATAACTCAACAATTACTATATAGTCCATTGATTATAGTATGGGTGTCTCTTAATCTGAACTCTTGAAAGCTGAGTAGAATGTAGCTAGATGAAGAAAAGGTACATGTGCATTGCAGGGAGAGGAAACAGTTTGAATGCATGGAAGAATACAATTCAATGACGTATTCAAGTAGCAGTGACTATATCCGAAATCAATAAACAATGAGGCATTTGAGTATAGGTTTGTGGGTGGCAGAATAACTACCTGAAAGCAGGTCACGGTGGGTGTGTGGGTGTCTCCAGCACAACACTGGCATGCAAGGCCATCCTGAAAGTATTCAAGCATTTTGGAAACAGCACTCATACAGTAGTGTTGACAATGGACTGGAATATGATTAAACTGAAGGCAAAGAGAAAAATAAAATTATTGAACCAATAAAATGGGGTGCAGAATTATTCCATATGATGATTTTCATTATCATTATAACTTATACTGGTCTTTGCACATTGGAAAGCCACTTCTTTGTTAAAGCAGTGAAATTAATTAGCAAAAATCCCAAAAGTCAGTTGGGTCACACCTGTAGTCAAACCATCTGTATACAATAATTTTAAGGAAATTTTAAAAAAATACATGTGTAGTGAAGTCTCTGTTAAAAGAAAAACAAGTGTCCTTTGGGTTGAAAATACCATCTGGATCATTTCAAACTTACCAGGTACAAAACATAGCACTGAGAAGCCTGAGGTCTGAAATATATAAACAAAAAAATCTTAAAAGAGATCTTAAATCTTTAAAACATTCCCTCCAGAAAGCAGGTTGGCATTTTTCACACTGCACCTGGATTTTCTTACATTAAAATGTCATGTTACTTCCTAGAAGGGATATTGTGAAGATTAACACAATCACGTTTTAAAGCTCTTTGAGTTTGTCAGAGTGAAGTTCTGTAAGTACAAGGTACAACATTCACTGTTCACTGCACAGTTATTTGAATCCTAGTTATGTGGGATATCAGAGTGAAGCAGATAAACTTCCTTTTACCCACATGAAGTAGAAAAATGAAATTCAGTAGAGAATTAGAATTGGTAATGTTTGAATTACTATGCAAAATTGAGGCATTCTTGTTACTTCCAGGTGTCTTAACAGACCCTTCGTAATATGGAAAAAGATTTATACCCAAGTCAAGTAATAAAGGAATTTACTCATTGATTTTTAAGGTTGGGGGAGTGAAAGAACTTTCTTGCAAGTTAAAAAAAAAGTGTAGATTAAAATTTTTTTTTAAATATTGGAAAATCAAATTTACTTATTTTAATCAATTTTAGTCAGTCAACAATACACATTCAATAGTCCTTGATGCTAGGCATTCCAAAAACTTATAAAAAGCAGTAAACTCAACAAAAAAAAATCTGAGTCTTTTTTTATCTTTTAAAATACTTAATTTTATAGAGATAAATAGCTACATACACAAACAATGGAAATATTATCTGGCATTTACTAATAATATAGTCCATGAGATCAGTGCCAAACACTGTTAAAGGTGAAGATCTGCTTTTTTTCCCCTTCCATTCACTCACTTAAACAACTTTTATTGATTACCTCATGCAAATGAAAATAGGGTCATATGGCTTGCGTTGTAATTCATTTGTTCATTCAAACATTTATTGAGACCCAGACACTAGGGCAAATATGAAATATAGTAAGCTCAATTTTATGTCTTAAGATTATTTTCCTATAGTGGTGGAATCAGATATGTAAATATATCATAAGGTCATATTTTAAGGTGGAATAGTAACTACAATGTATAAATAATACAATGAAGCTTAAGTACTTAGGAGTTCTCAAGCCTAGCTGCATTTTAAGATCACCAAAAGCATTTTCCTTTAAATAAAATGCAAAGGCCTCATCCATCCCGCCTCAATTCTGATTTAATTGGACTACAATGGAAAACTAGGATGTTGTGTTTTTGTTTTTGTTTTTTTCTCAAAACTTTCATTGAGTGTAATATGTGCCCAGGGTTGAAGCTTCCCCACTTCCACGCTAAATGGTTTGCTTAAAAAACTAATGAAGAGAGAGTTTAAAAGTTGTGTTGAAATTGAGGACACTGTTGAGAAAATCTGTAGGTGAAAAGTGAGATCACTTAAGACACCTATCACTAAAATTGAATACAATATGGTACATGTATTCTAACAATTCAGAAAAATATAGCAGAGCTGTAAATAAAATCCACTAAACCCAGGAACCCAAACCTAGGACTAAGTATACTATGCAAATATTTATCCTTGGGCCCTCAATCTCCAAATTCTTCCAATTACCCAATTAAATTCAAACTAGTCAAAACCTCTAAGGCAGGTCGTGCCATGTTTTATATTTGGAATAAATGAGTGATGATGTAAAGATGTTACATTCAAGCCTGCATTTCAAAACAAAACTGAAATTCCAGGCATCAACAAGAACAGTGAAGAATCTCATAGGATGATCAGATCTTCCTAGCTACTGAAATGTCAGAAGGCAGTAGTCTACACTGGCAGGGTATTCCATCAGGAATTACAGTTCCGGAATTTGGGGTTCTTGCTCAGTTTTCCTTGGTAATAAACAAAAAATAAATGAAATTTAAAAACCCAAGAGTGTCTTCATTTAAGAGTTTTCCAAGAAGTTCAACTTCCAGGTGTTTCTGAGCACAAGATTTACCATGTCACACAACTACGATGAGAGTACAAATCAGACAAAAGGTGATCCTTTATTGAGCGAGGCAAAGGGAGGCTTAATAGAAATAAAAACTAAGGACCAAAAAGCAGTATATTGAAATTTTCAACCATAAAGTATCCAAAAAAGTACAAAGTTTATAGTCTTTTAAAAATATTTTTCCTGTAACATCACACCTCCATGTAATGTTTTAAAGCATGCCTAGCAAGTTGGATTCAACACAATTAGAGAAAAAGAACCATATAAATGAGTAGGTAAGTTTGTGCATAAGGGGATTTAGAACATAGCCACACATTCTCTCCACTTCACCACTCTTCTGGGGGCTTAATGTCTTACACTTAAAAACAGGGTTCTGTTTTTGTTTCTCTGATTGATATATGTAAATACACCTTTGAAATATATCAATAAGTTATAGACCTAGAATTGTTATCAAATACTCATAATAGAATTTTTCAAATCTAAATCGTCTATGTACCTATAGGCTATTGACATGGTGTTTTCTTGATGTTTGAATTGTTAGAAGACAACACAGAATTATATAAACATGTATAGATAAAACTTATGGTGACTTTTCTATAGCTAACAGAAATGAGTGGTCAAAAGCAACCTTTTAACTATTAGCATTATTCACAGAGGAAATAAAGACACTTTTTTATTTCTTTGGGTTTTCTAAAATAGCAAGCTGGATGACTGAATAAGTAAGCTTCTTGTTGAGTATTGGTTCCCATGAGGTATTTGCTTTTTATTACTGATCTATTCCTATAAATCTTTCTCCGTTTTTTTTTCCATCACTCATACAACCCATACTTACTACTGAGACAAGATCACTACCAAAAGAGATATTGGGAGGCTGGGAGTCCATTTCCCAAGCAGTTATGATCACAGAAATCTCCACGTTAACTCACAGCCCCTGCATAAGGAATTCTACTAGATTAGTAGTCCCCACCCTTTTTAGCACCAGGGACTGGTCTTGTGGAAGACAATTTTTCCATGGTTTGGGGGGAGTGCAGAGGGATGGTTTCGGGATGGATTCAAGCACATTACATTTATTGTGCACTTTATTTCTACTATTATTACATTGTAATATATAATTAAATAATTATGCAAATAATGTAGAATCAATGGGAGCCCTGAGCTTGTTTTTCTGCAACTAGACAGTTCCTTCTGGGGGTGATGGAAGACAGTGACAGATCATCAGGCATTAGATTCTCATAAGGAGTGTGCAACCTAGATGCTGCACATGTACATTTCACAACAGGATTCATGCTACTATGAAAGTCTAATGCTGCCACTGATCTGACAGGAGGCCGAGCTCAGGCACTAATGCGAGTGATGGGAAGCCGCTTTAAATACAGATGAAGCTTTGCTTGCTCACCTGACCCTCCCCCCCATGCTGTGCAGCCCAGTTCCTAACAGGCCACGGACTGATACTGGTCCATGGCCTGGGGGTTGAGACCCCTGTACTAGATGAACTGAGACATTGTTTATCATTTTTAGCAAAAGTGTTAATTCCTTGAAATACTCAGAATAATAGTAATGAGTAAGACACAGAGCAATCGGAAATGCAGAGGCTCTTTTTTGTTAGGCTACATGTAAGCTATAGACAACATCTGACTGCTGAAAAAAAAAAAGACAATCTTTTCCCCGGATATGGCAAGGACACTCAGCCTCACTTTAGTCTTTTTAAAGTTCACCCTATACAAAGACAGAGATTACCATCAGTGGTGGTGTCTTCTGAAACAAAGGGCAGAAATTGATATTTCTCTTAGTGGGAGGTAATGTCAATATAGTAACCCAACCCCTTCTGAAGATGGCAAAAATGTTTTTTCAAGCTGCTACTAAAATCTATTTTGCCTAATTTTCACAAATAAAGAACATGACGGTTTTGTTTCCCTGACAATACTCTTGAATGTAACTGGCCTTCATGCTTTGTCCTCTGGTCTGTGTCCAAGCAACAGTCCAACACCTTAAATTAATCTTTGCATCCAATGAGAAGTTCCAAAGAAGCCCAGACAGATGTTCCTGTGATTATCACTGTCATATATTCTATTAAAGATTATACAGATAAGAAAAGCTATGACTTCTTAGAAGTTTTGGGTTTTCTGTGGCTTTAGTAATAGAAAATGTCTAATTCTTTACGAAATAACAGATACAAGATATTTTATATATACAGGGTTTTTTAAAGATTTTTTTTAATATTGGTCAAGAATATTGCCTTGGATAAATACATAGAATATGTATGTAGAAGTATGAGAAATGGACTAGAAACCAAGCGCATTAACCTCATGATAGATGTTGTCTCTGGGAAGTGAGTATAAATAATAGAATGATGAAACGTGGTTATGGAGACTTTGGCTAAATCTGTAATGTTTGTCTCTTTAAAAAACGATAAGGCAAATATGACTAAGTGGTAAGTTTTAAATATTATGCATTATTATGGGTGTCTTTATGTTGTTATTTAACGTTTTCTGCATTTGAAGATCTCCAAAATTTAAGAAAACAAGACTATTAGCTAATCACATGCCCATTGTGCTTTCTCTTCTGAAGAAAATGATTGCAATTAGAACACCCTTCCTTGTTGTCCAATTAGTAGCTTGCATCGAAGAAATCTTCATTGGGCATTAATCAATTCAAAATCGTGATTTTAATGGTACTAGTCACCCTGCTTTTAAAAACACATTAATATTCAAATTCATGTGTAAGTGCCCCATATAGCTGATTAACTGGAAGTAAGAAAAGCCTTAATATATGCAGAACACCATTCACGTGCTCTAAAAGGCAAATGAAGGCGCTCGGATATATTATGAGTTGTAAGTGTCTGTCTTTTATGAAAATGAAGAAAAATTCCCTCAAGAAGAACCCAGATATTTGGCCGTTTTGACATTTTACAAGGTATAGAGCAAAGCACTCAACCAGGCAAGCATCGGTAAGAAATAAAAATGAGTGCATTCACTTACAATAATAAATTCAAAATAACACTTAAATTATGTACATGCATCACATATAGCAACTGTGTAAGTATGTAGTTCTTTGAGTACTGTTTATAAGAACTTTCAAAAAAAGATCCCAAAATTATTGATGACTGTTTACTTTTGGCCCATGAATCATTTCCTGAATATATTTTACAATTGTGATTCAGCTCAGTTTTTAATTAATTTAATTTTTTGTTTCTTTTTTAACAAAATCACTGTTTCTCTTTTCAGATTATCCACAGGTTTGGCCTATCTCCTGAGGTAACACCAGGCACATCTGTTGATCTCCTCAAACACCAAGACAGCAACAATAATGGACTTACAAAATAAAAGCTAGAGAGAGAGTCTTTTCAAAACACAACGGGAAAAGTAACTCAAAATGAGATAACCAGCAGATGCTCCAGAATATGGAAGTCATCTGTAAGCGTTTAGTGGAATGGAGAATGCTGAAACAGTTCTCCATTTGCCAGATGCCTGAAATAGAGACAGATGAGCTATTCCTCTGAACTTCAACAACAGCGCCAGCTGAAAAAGCAGACCCTTTCTGCCAAGGGTCACTTGTTGGAGCTGTTGACTGTAAATCAGAGTTCTCCTTTTGGACTTATGGTACCCAGAAAATGCAACCAAAATGTTCATATGTGCACCTTACCTTGGGCACAAAGACCATCATCCTTAGTTGCTGAAGGTCTGTGGGGGTGGGCACAAATTGTTTAGATGTTTTGAACAAAGGTACCTTTTTATAAAAACCGCATGTTGTACACAGCATTTCTTACCTTTCCCATGAACAACAAAGGCTCCCAAATAAAATAACCCACATTTCAACTTCATTGGTAAATAGTGGTAAGATATTTAGGTCTGAAAATCTTTATGAAAAGGCCCTTTATGTCTTTTTTTCCTTGCTAAAATAATTGCTGCTATATTACAGTGTCTTCTAACCTGCATTAGTGGGAAAAAAATGCCTTTGTGTGAAATGAACTATCTGGAATCCTTTTTCTCATATTGTTTAGATCAGGAGTCTGTTTTTTTGCACTCTCTCCCAGGGTGTCTGAAACATTTAAAAATAACAGTGGGTAGTCAGAACTGCTCATGCTGGCAGTGGGTGCCTTATGGTTTGCCATCACATAAATGTCAACTTTGCTTTCTTTTATAGAGCTAAGCAGAGATAAATCTCAGTAGCAAAGAAAGAAGTCTTTAGATTTTGTAGTTTCCTTCATTTCTATGTGTGGCCTACCAATCAGCCCAGAGCATCTCTGCACCTCTTCATCCTGTTTAACTCTAGCACCCATTTGTTTCAACTTTTCCAAATCTGCCAGGAGGCTGAGAGGAATCTTTAGTGGGGTTAGAATATAGTGGGGTATACTGGGATATAGACCAATGGGTCTCACAGTGCAGTCCAAGACCAGCAGCAGCAGCAGCATCGCCTGGGAACTTGTTAGAAACACAGATTCTTTAGACCTCGCCTTCCGAATCAGATACTATGAGATTGAGATTTATTAATCTGGTTTGATAAGCTTTTCAGACCATTCAGACCCACACTAAAGTTTGGGAAACTCTGGTCTTGACCACAATGCCAAAATTTCCCGTAGGAACTCCATAAATTTCACTCTTAGATTTCTGCACCTGGTGTTTCCCAATTGTGAAAGCCCAAATATTTTAGATGCCCATTTAGTATCTATACTACAGTGACCCCAAGATACAAAAAGGACACCATCTAAATTAAACGTGGTGTCAGCTTTTGGAATGTGTAGTGGTGAATTAATTTGCATTAAGAATTTGTCTTGGATCAGCAAAACAGTTTGGCTAAGCCATAGCCCCAGTGCCTTCTAAAAATCACACTCCTTTGATTTCCTACCAACAAAAGAGAGATTTAAGAGCCTTACAGAAAACAACACTGCCACCTGTGCATAAGACAAGCACTTGGGTTGGTTGATGAATGGATTACACCTATCAGTGCAGGTGTCCTTATTCGTGGATGAAAACAACTGATTCATTCTCTCTCTTAATTAGCTTTGAATGCACTACTGCACTGTACTCACTGAGTGAGGCTCTGCTGAACATTTTAGGTTACATTCCAAAAGTAGGAACTGTGGAAATATGAAATTGAGGAACTACAAAGTGTTTTATGACATTTAATGTAAAAGCTGATGACATTAAAAACATAAAGAAAATATCAGCCAGGTGCAGGGCATGTGCCTGTAATCTCAACACTTTGAGAGGCCAAGGCAGGGGGATAGCTTGGGCCCAGGAGTTTGAGACCAGCCTAGGCAACAAAGGGAGACCCTGTCTCTACAAAACATTAAAAAAAGCTAGCCGAGCGTGGTGGTGTACATATGCTGTCCCAGCTTCTTGGGAGGCTGAGGCAGGAGGATCACTTGACCCCAGGAGCTTGAGTGAGCCTTGATTGAGCCACTGCATGTCAGTCTGGGTGACAGAGGAAGACCCTGTCTCTGATAAGAAAGGAAGAAAGGAAGGAAGGAAGGAAGAAGAGACAGAGAGAGAGAGGAAGGAAGGAAGGAAGGAAGGAGGGAAGGAAGGAGAGAGAAATATCAACAGACATTTTTTAAATTGATGAAGTTGTTTATGAATCACCTGTGAAAAAAATATCTTGAACTTACGTGAAGAAAATAGATGACTCTATCTACTTTTTAATTGTACTTTCCAAAGGTATTCTTGTGAAGAGCCTTTGAGAAAATTTCCTCAATATCACTTACATGTAATCTTCATCAGGACCTCTCCACACCCCCCATTAGAAATTGCATGCTTTTCTCTCTTCCACCACCTAGCTTGAAGTCCAAGAAAGGGCCTTCCCTCTCCTCATTTGTTAAGTCTGTTAACCCAGGTCAGAGAAAGCTTGCTTTACAGGGGAGAGGCCAGAGGACATGCCTGGAGCTAAGAAGTGCTCAATTGTCAAATAAACCAGGAGTTTGTTTGCTTTTAAAATGGGAACAAGATAATCCTTTCTTCAAGACTTCACCCATGAAGTATTGTGGGAAATGCATTTTAAAATCAAAATGTCATTTTTCTACCATTTTTGGTTTTTTTTTTAAGGGTTAAGAAGACCAAATTCATTGGTTTTGACTGGGTTGCTGAATTCTGGGGTTGGCAGTCCAAAAATGAGTTCAGCTAGTCTCACGGCTAAGTGCCACAGGATAGAGCTGTCTCCTCCAGGACCTAGTGGAACGTGAGGTCCCCAAGCACCCAGAAGCTTTTTTAGCAGGAGCCAGCCAAGCAAACAAAAGAATTTCCAGCCTTCCACAACGATTGGATTATAATATTTACTGTACCAACACTGAAAATATGTTCTTAATTATTAAGCATATACTTTAATGCCTACTGTGTGCAGATATCCTGAGTGCTATGAAAAAGTATGGAAGAGATAAAAAACAAAAGACAAAAAAACAAGCTCATCCCAGGAATAATCTGCAACTTAGCTGAGAAGAGCAAACCTATAGTAATGAAATGGCACAAGGGTGCTACGAAGGAGTCCCACCTTAAATCAGGGTGTTAAGCTCCATTACTTTGCACTGAAGCTCCTCTCTCCAAACTCAATGCTCTGAAAGTGCAAAAAAGGCAATCATGTTAAGTATGCTGCTGAGAATCTGCTATCTGTAGGTCTGGGAGACATTAATAAAACATGGACAAATGTATCAGGCATTAAAAAACTAGAGACTACGACATTTAAATTATTTTTGACAAAATATTCATGTTATACTCTCAGCTCAGAAATGCAGGCTTTGTTGCAAACATAGGGGCATCTCATCCAGTGATTTATCTCAATAGTTATAGCAGGAGGAAGAATTCACCAAGAGCAATCCATACTCTTCTCTCCTACTCTAGAGGTAAATCAGGTATTCAAAGAAATTCTGCCTCTAAATAAAAAGTGAAGGAATTTAGCTTTCTAGTTCTGTGGCTGTTTAAGATGCTATCTTTTCATGTCTTTAAATAAAAAATTTAGAGTATTTTCATGTACATGTAATGTAAACACATGCATGCACACACACACATACCCACATACAGTATTTGGTTGCATTTTAGCAACTAACATTCCTTTTGCGAAATAAATGGTCCTCAGTGTGACATTACATCCTCTAACAATACACTATGGCATTTCTAGAGCATAACATTATGTTCTGAACTTAGAGCTATGTGAACAAATTCACACCCAAAGCAAACCCAGCAAAGTGCCTGGCTTGCTTCCAGTTTCACTTTCCATGTTGTTTTGCAGAAATGAAGAGCAATTTTGTGGTTGAAAATGAAAATGTCTTTTCCCAACTGTGATCGACCCTTTGACCTGGCAGAAAATGGCTTGAAGCCCATGCCTTTCCGGCCCTGGAGGCTTCTACCGTAAAACAATTTCTGCTCAAGAAGACAGTTTCTGGAAGTTTTAAAGCATCTCAAGTGCTGGTCTACACTTACCTACCTGCTTGGTCTTGCCCTACTTTCCTGTATATGTAACTCTTGCTAGAGTACAGTAAGTTCTCTTTTTTCCCAAAGTCTCCCAAAAGGGAAATGTATTATTAGAAGATGAGATGTAGGAGCATATTTAAGAGTTAAGCTAAATCGGATCTTTAAGTTAAAGTGCCTACAGGGCCAAATACAGTACAAAGTGTGCCCCATACAGTATGAAATGAAGGGAGTCAAACTTAAGAGCAGGAGTTCTGATTGGTGTCAAACTTGTTCATTTGGTCCTATTACATATTTTTTTGACACAAAATAGAGTGTTCTGTAGGAAAAAGCTATTCTTGGATTGAAGTAAAATTATTCAGTTTTACAAATTATACACTTTGACAAATTTTTTATGAGGGATTTATGGAGCAAAATGGTGGTGATGTAAAACAATGGAACTAAACTTTGAAGAATTGTGTACCCAACAGTTTTAGGTTGGTATCATATAAGCAACCACATACAGAGAAAAATAAACAATAGGTAAAATTTACTAGATGATTTTTTTTTCTTTTAACTTGTGGAAATGGAGAAACAAATGGATTAAGAGTTCTATGAAAAGTGTTTAAATTAGTAAGTGAAAATTATTTAATCTCAGGTGTTATGAAAAAAACAACATCATTTCAGTTTTAGCACTTATATATGGAATTAAATATATATTTTAAATTGAATTCTGTTTGACAGAATTGAAATTTGAAATCTTCTAAAAACTTTAAAATTTAAAATTACTCAAAATGAGATGCTATATTTTAAAGACTCAATAAAATCACCTACTTTGCAAAACAAAAGTTCAATGTACTTATTTTCCAAAATTTTAAGAGAACAATACTAACCAATGTCTCTCTCACCTTCTCCCTTTTTTTAAATTTCTCTCTCCACTTGTTCACCCCCTCTTAGTGCTTAAATGTTTTTCTATAAGCAGAAGAGAGTGAGTTTTCATTTCTATTTTCATATCCCTCTTTGGTATCCTCAATTATCTTAAGGAATCTCTTAAAAATTTCAGAGCAAAGACATTTTATACTATCTCCCCACTTTCTAACATACATTATTATCATTCAGTGCCATTAGAAATGAAGAGATAAATGGCGGTATTAGAAACCCAAACAAATTATACATTCTTTATGTGCTCCTCCTTTGAAAAAAAAAAGTGTAACTCAATGAAACAAATTAAGGAATTAAGTATAAGCTATTTCAAAATGTGCTGAAAATTACAATTGAGTCTATTGTCTTTTTGAGAGAAGAAAGAACTCACCTGGACCTTTTGACTCTCACTTTTATTACCATATGCACCATTTCTGGGTAATACATGCAATGTACAGAACTTGGAAAACCCTTACCCTGTAGAACAAAGCAAATGCTTAAAGGGAAATAATGACTATGAATTTTCTTCCTTTTCATATTATGGAAAGCCCAGCCATAATAGGTCCCATTGCAGTAAGACTAACCACAAGCATAATATGGAAAGAAAATTTACGTCAATCATCTTTATCCTTGTTTTTCCTAAAATATCAGAAAAACCTAGAAATCTGAAGCTGGAAGGGATCCTAAAGATCATCTAATTGAAATGCTTTCTTTAAAAAATTATGGGAATAAGGTCTGTACGAATTACCTGACATTGAAGATCACACAGCTAAGCTATGAGAAATAGAAATCTCCTAGCTTCCTAACTGTTTGATGTTGCAGGGGCAGTATAGGATTCTTGCCAGCATATAGCTAAAGGCACAGTCTAGTTGCACCATGTCAATGGGAAGCTGGTGCTTTCAGATATTGCAAGTATCCTTCATGACTATCCCAACTTTCTCCAGCTGAAGAAATTGCAAAGAAGAAGGAACAAAAATCTATTTCTGTGGTTAACATTTTTACTTTCTAATTCAAACACGGTTTTTTCCTCTAGCTTAAAAATCATATGTAAATTTTTTTTTACCTATTTGTTGTTGATTTTTAAATAATGGTAGATACCACTTTGCTTCTCACAGTATTGAAACTTCATACACAAGCCTTCAAGCAAGCCCAGTGCTAAATTACCAATGGCTAGATATGTTGGTCCATAAAGCCAAACAGCTGCAGAGACGGATATTTGGTGGACTAAACCTAAAGAAGGGAGCATTCTTCATTTCTTTCAGCTATGCAACACTAATGAGAATGTTCACCCTAAAATTAAAGAGTAATATAATAACAATGTGTACCTACAATGTGGTCAATTTCTATGTTGAGCAGAAGATGCAGAGATGAGTAAGAGACAGACTCTCAACTCAGAGTTTACAGTTGAGCAGGTAAGATACAGTAGTATGCACACAACTGATTACAATTCAAAATAACTCAGTTCCATAAAAGTTGTACAAAACTCTAAAGGTACTCAAAGAATATAGCTTTCCAGAAAACATGAAAAACATCCTGTAATAAGTGAATTTGAGGTGAAACTTGTAGACTTCCATAGGCCTGGGATAGCAGGAAAAACAAAAATTGTTTAGGGCTGAGGTGGCTTGGAAGCCACCTCAGACCTCTCACCTGTTCTTTCTCATTTCCCTACCGCTGTGTCTGTGTATGAGTTTATTCTTCTGAAATACCTACCCCCATCTCTTTGCCCCCACATCCCCTTCATTGCTTGTTTGTGGAACAGATAAATATGAGCTGGACAGCTCCAGACATGCAAATAACTACTTGCAAAAAATTGAACACATGTTTCTGCTTTTAGTGGACTTCACCAATGGAGCCTGACAAAGTGCCACACACATAATAGTTGATCAATATTCATTCATTCAATAAATACTTATTGAGCACTTACTAAACATGAGGCACTGTGTTAGCAGGTTGAGGATATAAATAAGCTTAATGTAATCTTTACTTCTATGGAGTTTACAGAAATTTAAATAAGCAGTTGCAGCAATGTGATGAGCCTTATGATGGTAGAAGCACAAGATGCTGTGGTAGTGCAAGGCAAAGACACCTGCCCAGGTCAGGAGGGTCAAGGAAGCATCTCAAGAAAAACAAGTTAATTCTTCAACAACGGTTATAAGTTAGCAGGTGCCATTGTACAATGGAAACATGAAACTGCTGCCACACTGGGAAGCCTGTGGCCTTATAGGAAGGCACGTCTGAAGGCAGCAATAACTGGGAGCAGCCAGCAAAATGACTGTTGCCAAACATTTCCAAGTGAAAAGCTAACCATTTCAGGCAAATTATGAGGCCACTGACCAAAGGTCAAAAGAAGGGGAAAGGGAGCTGAGGCTTTCCTAGAGTCAGTGAAAGGTAGGACTGCCATTGAGGTTAACAGCAAGGAATGTATCAGATAAAGGGAATGGAGCCTAAGATAAAGGATGGGGTATTGCAGCCTTTTGAAGCTTCCGCATCAATAATTACGACTGGAGGTCAATCCGTCAGAAGTTCAAACAGCTAAAGCTTCAAATGAAGAGGATTTGTTCTCATGCAAATGTCTCTTAAAATGCAAACTAAGGAAAAAAAAGGTAAGAGAATGTGGCATGAAAGACAGGAGAGTGTCTTATTCAACAGCAATTTCTTTAAATTAAAAAAACAACTTGCAAATGGATGGGAAAAACATCTCTTTACAACAGCAAGTGGCTAAGTATGTTCCATGTAGATGGCATTCTGCTACAACTCTCTAAATTCCACCTTTCGAAACATTACTCTAAATTCTTTCTTTTAAAACACTGATTTGCCAAATAGAATAAGGCTTAAGAACATTTCACTCTATAATTTCAATAGAGCAGGCATTTGGGGTCCACCAATGCAAAAGAAATATTCTTTAAGTAACAGATTGACTGTGCTGTGACCACACTGGATGAGGTCTCCTGCTTAAGGGTTTTGACAAAAAAGAGTAGATTTAAAGATAGTGTACTTGCCTCCAAAAACGGTGCTGCAAGACTGAATATTACTTCATTGTGGGCTGTAGGAAATGTGTTTTGCCTGCTCTGTTTAATTCTGGGGTTAAAAGCAGTAGTCAAATCATGACAGCAAGGAGCTTTCTGCTCTATTACAGCTCACTTATTTCCCTCCAAATATTAAACAATGCCAAAAAAACTTTAAGTTATTTGGGATAGGATCCATTTTCATTTTACTCTTGTCCTTTTTTGGTTGTGAGATGACAGTTTAATATTCCAGGCTCCAAAGCAGAGTTTCGCAAATGGATTTTTTTAAAAAATAAAGTTCAATGCTCTAGGGAAGAAAAAATGTGTGCAATTAATTTTCCATAAGAAATTGTATAACTGGTATTATACAAAGATGACTGACTATGTTTATCATCTATTTATCTCATACAATTCTTTGAATTTTCTAGGATAACATAGCATATTCATAATTTTACTAACATTGATTCATCCTTGGTT
Organism: Homo sapiens; assembly: GCF_000001405.40. Classification (NCBI taxonomy): domain Eukaryota; kingdom Metazoa; phylum Chordata; class Mammalia; order Primates; family Hominidae; genus Homo; species Homo sapiens. The sequence goes on from NC_000005.10 coordinate 98,433,551, forward strand.
TTATTATATAAAAATTGACTCTTATTTTGTTCTACTTGAGGTTTTTTCAGTTGGTGTTTTATCATCTGGATTCAGTGTAGGATAATATAGGGATTACAAACACAAATTTGAGAATTAAATTCAAATTTGAATCTTCACTGAACTCTACCCTTAGAAATGGTGAAGGTGCTAAATTTTATAAGTATAATGCACCTCAATTTTAGTAAAAAAAAAAACTAAGAAGAAAATAAATAAATAAAGCAAATTAATACTCAAAAATATAGTTTGAGTCTCACTCATGACTCATAAATTGTGTCACCTTAGGAATGTTATTTAACCTCTCTTAGCATTAGTCATCTTTAAAAATGATAATATTAATAATTCCAAATTCCCTGTGCTGTTCACAGGATTAAATAACATAAACCATATGAAGGAGCTGATACATAATAAGCTTTCAGTAAATTAAAATTTTGTAAAATTTCAGTAAATTAAAATTGTCATTAAATGAATGGACTGTTCTGAAGATTTGAAAAGCCTTCCTTGGCAGGGTCACCATTTTGTTCACACAGAATACAATATTTTTCTAGGTATTTCTGTATTTTATTAATTCATTTCAAAAAAAAAAATGCCACTCCAAATATGTAGGTAACATCAGAGCTAGCTCAAAAAAATGAAATAAAGCCATTTGCTCAAATGAGTATTCCTAACCTGATTAAGAGCTAAACGTTGACCACAAAGACAATCTCAGAAACTCCTTCACCACAAGAGAAATCAAACGCAGAAAGACTCATGTGCCCAGTTGCCTTGTTTACTACCAAACATAGTAGGAAAAATAGTCTGTTTTTTTCCAAGGCTTTCTTTTAAATCCAAGTTTAAAAAATGAATATAACTGAGAAAAAGTGCAGTTCTGAAAATGCCAGGTGCTATGAAGAAATGTTACCAAAATAATGAGAGGATAAGAGGTTGAGAATATTTGATATCATAATTGTCAGGCCTCTGAGCCCAAGCTAAGCCATCATATCCCCTGTGACCTGCACATATACATCCAGATGTCCTGAAGCAACTGAAGAACCACAAAAGAGGTGAAAATAGGCAGTTCCTGTCCTAACTGATGACATTCCACTATTGTGATTTGTTCCTGCCCCACCCTAACTGGTCAACCTTGTGACATTCCCTCTTCTGGACAATGAATCTTAGGAGCTCCCCCACCAAGCACCTTGTGACCCCTGCCCCTGCCTGCAAAAGAACAACCCCCTTTAACTATAATTTTCCACTATCTACCCAAATCCTATAAAACTACCCCACCCCATCTCCCTTTGCTGACTCTCTTTTCGGACTCAGTCCACCTGCACCCAGGTGATTAAAAAGCTTTATTGCTCACACAAAGCCTGTTTGGTGGTCTCTTCACATGGAGGCGCATGACAATTGGTGCCAAAGACCTGGGACAGGGGACTCCTTTCGGGAGACCGTTCCCCTGTCCTCACCCTCACTCCATGAGGAGATCCACCTATGACCTTGGGTCCTCAGATCAGCCCAAGGAACATCTCACCAATTTCAAATCAGGTAAGCGATTTCTTCACTCTCTTCTCCAGCCTCTCTCGCTACCCTTCAATCTCCCTGTCCTTCCAATTCCAGTTCTTTTTCCTCTCTAGTAGAGACAAAGGAGACACATTTTATCCGTGGACCCAAAACTCTGGTGCCGGTCACAGACTCAAGACGACAGTCTTCCCTTGGTGTCTGATCAGTGCGGGGATGCCTGCCCTGATCATTCACCTACCATTCATCCACTGGTGTCTGATCACCACGGGGACGCCTGCCTTGGTCATTCACCCACATTCCCTTGGTGGCAAGTCAATTGTGGGGATGCCTGCTTTGGCTCCTCACCACCCCCTTCTCCATGTCTCTACCTTTCTCTTTAAACTTACCTCCTTCACTATGTGCAATCTTCCACACTCCATTCCCCCTTCTTCTCCCTTAGCTTGTGTTCTCAAGAACTTAAAACCTCTTCAACTCACACCTGACCTAAACCCTAAACAACTTATTTTCTTCTGCAATGCTGCTTGGCCCCAATACAAACTTGACCATGGTTCTAAATGACCAGAAAATGGCGCTTTTGATTTCTCCATCTTACAAGACCTGGATGATTTTTGTTGAAAAATGGGCAAATGGTCTGAGGTGCCTGACGTCCAGGCATTCTTTTACACATAGGTCCCTCCCTAGTCTCTGCTCCCAATGCAACTTGTCCCAAATCTTTCTTCTTTCTCTCCTGGCTGTTCCTTCAGTCTCCACCCCAAGCTCTGAGTCCTTTGAATCCTCCTTTTCTATGGACCCATCTGACCTCTCCCCCTCCTCCCCAGGCTGCTCCTCACCAGGCCCAGCCAGGTCCCAATTCTTCCTCAGCCTCTGCTTCCCCACTCTATAACCCTTCTATCACCTCCCCTCACACCCGGTATGGCTTACAGTTTTGTTCCATGATTAGCTCTCCCTCACCTGCCCAACAATTTCCTCTTAGAGAGGTGGCAGGAGCTGAAGGCATATTCAAGGTTAACGCTCCTTTTTCTTTTTTTTCTTTCTTTTTTTTTTTTGAGACAGAGTCTTGCTCTGTCGCCCAGGCTGGAGTGCAGTGGCGCAATCTCGGCTCACTGCAAGCTCCGCCTCCCAGGTTCACGCCATTCTCCTGCCTCAGCCTCCCAAGTAGCTTGGACTACAGGTGCCCGCCACCACGCCTGGCTAATTTTTTTTTTCTATTTTTAGTAGAGGCAGGGTTCACCGTGTTATCCAGGATGGTCTCAATCTCCTGACCTTGTGATCTGCCTACCTTGGCCTCCCAAAGTGCTAGGATTACAGGCATGAGCCACCACGCCCGGCCAATGCTCCTTTTTCTTTATCCAACCTCTCCCAGATCAGTTAGTGTTTAGGCTCTTTTTCATCAAATATAAAAACCTAGCCCAGTTCATGGCCCATTTGGCAAAAACCCTTAGATGCTTTACCGCCCTAGACCCAGAGGGGCCAGAAAGCCGTCTTATTCTCAATATGCATTTCATTACCCAATCCGCTCCTGACATTAGAAAAAGCTCCAAAAATTAGATTCCGGCCCTCAAACCCCACAACAGGACTTAATTAACCTCGCCTTCAAGGTGTACAATAATAGAGAAGAGGCAGCCAAGCAGCAACATATTTCTGAGTTGCAATTACTTGCCTCTACTGTAAGAGAAACCCCAACCACATCTCCAGCACACAAGAACTTCAAAATGCCTAAACTGCAGCAGCCAGGCATTCCTCTAGGACCTCCTCCCCCAGGTACTTGCCTCAAGTGCCAGAAATCTGGCCCTGGGCAAGGAATGCCTGCCGCCCAGGATTCCTCCTAAGCCAAGTTCCATCTGTGCAGGACCCCACTGGAAATCAAACTATCCAACTCACCCAGCAGCCACTCCCAGAGCCCCCAGAACTCTGGCCTGAGGCTCTCTGACTGACTCCTTCCCAGACCTTCTCGGCTTAGCGGCTGAAGACTGACACTGCCCAATCCCCTTGGAAGCCTCCTGGACCATCACAGATGCTTTGGGTAACTCTTACAGTGGAGGCTAAGTCCATCCCCTTCTTAACCAATACAGGGGCTACCCACTCCACATTACCTTCTTTTCAAGGGCCTGTTTCCCTTGCCTCCATAACTGTTGTGGGTATTGATGGCCAGGCTTCTAAACCTCTTAAAACTCCCCAACTCTGGTGCCAACTTGGACAACATTCTTTTATGCACTCCTTTTTAGTTATCTCCACCTGCCCAGCTCCCTTATTTGGTTGAGACATTTTAACTAAATTATCTGCTTTCCTGACTATTCCTGGGCTATAGCCACAACTCATCGCCACCGTTTTCCCCAGTTCAAAGCCTCCTTCGCACCTTCCTCTTGTATCCCCCAACTTTAACCCACAAGTATGGGACACCTCTCCTCCCTCCCTGGCGATCGATCACACACTCATTACTATCCCATTAAAACCTAATCACCCTTACCCCACTCAATGCTAATACCCCATCCCACAGCACACTTTAAAAGGGTTAAAGCCTGTTATCACCCGCCTGTTACAACATGGCCTTTTAAAGCCTACAAACTCTCCTTAGAAGTCTCCTATCCTACCTGTCCAAAAACCTGACAAGTCTTACAGGTTGGTCCAGGATCTTTGCCTTATCAACCAAATTGTCCTGCCTATCCACCCCGTGGTGCCAAACCCATATACTCTCCTATATTCAATACCTCCCTCCACAAGCCGTTATTCTGTTCTGGATCTCAAAGATGCTTTCTTTGCTATTCCTTTACACCCTTCATTCCCACCTCTCTTCGCTTTCACTTGGACTGATCCTGACACCCATCAGTCTCAGCAACTTACCTGGGCTGTACTGCCACAAGGCTTCACAGACAGCCCCCATTATTTCAGTCAAGCCCTTTCTCATGATTTACTTTCTTTTTGTCCATCTGCTTCTCACCTTAATATTTTAATGACCTTCCATCTTATAGCCCCTCCTACAAATCTTCCCAACAGGACACCCTCCTGCTCCTCCAACATCTATTCTCAAAAGGATATCACATATCCCCCTCCAAAGCCCAAATTTCTTCCTCATCCATTACCTATCTCAGCATAATTCTTCATAAAAACACACATGCTCTCCCTGCTGATCGTGTCCAGCTAATCTCCCAAACCCTAACCCCTTCTACAAAGCAACAACTCCTTTCCTTCCTAGGCATGGTTAGGTACTTTTGCCTTTGAAAACTTGGTTTTGCCATCCTGACTAAACCATTATATAAACTCACAAAAGGAAACCTAGCTGACCCCATAGATCCTAGATCCTTTCCCCACTCCTCTTTCCGTTCCTTAAAAACAGCCCTAGAAGCTTCTCCCACACTAGCTCTCTCTAACTCATCCCAACCCTTTTCATTACACACAGCCAAAGTACAGGGCTGTGCGGCTGGAATTTTTACACAAGAGTCAGGACTGCGCCCTCTCCAAACAACCTGACTTTACTGTTTTAGGCTGGCCCTCATATCTGTGTGCAGCGGCTGCTGCCACTTTAATACGTTTAAAGGCCCTCAAAATCACAAGCTATGCTCCACTTACTCTCTACAGTTCTCATAACTTTCAAAATCTATTTTCCTCCTCATACTTGATGCATATACTTTCTGCCCCCTGGCTCCTTCAACTGTACTCACTATTTGTTAAATCTCCCACAATTACCATTGTTCCTGGCCCAGACTTCAATCTGGCCTCTCATCTTATTCCTGATACTACATCTAAACCCCATGACTCTATTGCTCTAATCCACATGGCATTCTCCCCATTTCCCCATATTTCCCTCTTTCCTGTTCCCCACCCAGACCACACTTGGTTTATTGTTGGTGGTTCTTCCAGGCCCAATCGCCAATCACCGGCAAAAGCAGTCTATGTTATAGTGTCTTCCACATCTATCATTGAGGCTACCGCTCTGCCCCTCTACAATACCTCTCAGCAAGCCGAACTCATTGCCTTAACTCAAGCCCTGATTCCTGCAAAAGGACTGTGTGTCAATATTTATACCAATTCCAAGTATGCCTTCCACATCCTTCACCACCATGTTGTTATATGGGCTGAAAGAGGTTTCCCCATTACACAAGAATCCTCCATCATTAATGCCTCCTTAATAAAAACTCTACTTAAAGCTTCTCTACTTCCAAGGAAGCTGGGGTCATTCACTGCAAGGGCGATCAAAAGGCATCAGATTCCATTGCTCAGGGCAATGCTTATGCTGATAAGATAGCTAAAGAAGCAGCTAGCGTTCTAACTTCTGTCCCTCATGGCCAGTTTTTCTCCTTCTCATCGGTCACTCCCACCCACTATCCCACTGAAACTTCCACCTATCAATCTCTTCCCACACAAGGCAAATGGTTCTTGGACCAAGAAAAATTCCTCCTTCCAGCCTCACAGGCTCATTCCATTTTATCATCCTTTTGTAACCTCTTCCATACGGGTTACAAGCCACTAGTCCGCTTCTTAGAACCTCTCATTTCCTTGAAGACATTTGCCCCTTGTTCTTCAGACTCTCCTCCCAGCCCCCCTTCTTGTTTACTTATACCCAACCCCATGAATAGCAATGAAAGGTTGCTTGTAGACACTATGTGCTTTCTTGTACACCATAAAAATCAAACCTCCCTCTCTACCCAGTTGCCCCATCAATCCCCATTACAACCTCTAATGGCTGCTGCCTTCGCTATATCCCTAAGAGTCTCGGTGCAAGACACCTCTTTTGGTGCTCCCTCTCATCTTTTCACTTTACATTTCCAGTTTTGCCTTACAAAGGTCTCTTCTTCCTCTGTGGCTCCTCCACCTACATGTGTCTACCTATTAATTGGACAGGTACATGTACACTAGTTTTCCTTACCCCCAAAAATCAATTTGCAAATAGGACCGAACAGCTTCCTGTTCCCCTCATGACACCAACACTTCACCACTATTTTGTTTTAATTTTCTCATTAATATAAGAAGGCAGGAATAGGCCTTAATTTACTCAGTGCTGAAAAAGGAGGACTCTGTATATTTTTAAATGAAGAGTGTTGTTTTTACCTAAATCAATCTGGCCTGGTATATGGCAACATAAAAAACTCAAAGATAGAGCCCCAAAACTCGCCAACCAGGCAAATAATTATGCTGGACCTCCCTGGGCACTTTCTAATTGGATGTCCTGGCTCCTCCCAATTCTTAGTCCCCTAATACCTGTTTTTCTCCTTTTCTTATTTGGACCTTGTGTCTTCCGATTAGTTTCTCAATTCATACAAAACCGCATCCAGGTCATCACCAGTCATTCTATATGACAAATGTTCCTTCTAACAACTCCACAATATCACCCCTTACCCCAAAATCTTTCTTCAATTTAATTTCTCCCAACCTAAGTTCCCATGCTGCCCCTAATCCCGCTCGAAGCAGCCCTGAGAAACATCACCCATTATCTCTCCATACCACCCTCAAAAATTTTCGTGACCCCAACACTTCACTACTATTTTGTTTTGTTTTTCTTATTAATATAAGAAGACAGGGGCTGGGCACGGTGCCTTGTGCCTATAATCCCAGCACTTTGGGAGGCCAAGGCAGGTGAATCACAAGGTCAGGAGAATGTGACCATCCTGGCTAACACAGTGAAACCCTGTTGCTACTAAAAATACAAAAAACTAGCCAGACATGGTGGTGGGCACCTGTAGTCCCAGCTACTCAGGAAGCTGAGGCAGGAGAATGGCATGAACCTGGGAGATGGAGCTTGCAGGGAGCTCAGATCACACCACTGCACTCCAGCCTGGGCAACAGAGCAAAACTCTATCTCAAAAAAAAAAAAAAAAAAAAAGACAGGAATGTCAGGCCTCTGAGCTGAAGCTAAGCCATCATATTCCCTGTGACCTGCACATATACATCCAGATGGCCTGAAGCAACCAAAGAACCACAAAAGAAGTGAAAATAGGCAGTTCCTGCCTTAATTGATGACATTCCACCACTATGATTTGTTCCTACCCCACCTTAAATGATCAGTTAACCTTGTGACATTCCTTCTCCTGGACAATGAATCTCAGGAGCTCCCCCACCAAGCACCTTGTGACCCCCACCCCTGCCCCCAAGATAACAACCCCCTTTAACTATAATTTTCCGCTACCTAACCAAATCCTATAAAACTGCCCCACCCCTATCTCCCTTTGCTGACTCCTTTTTCAGACTCAGTCTGCCTGCACTCAGGTGATTAAAAAGATTTATTGTTCACACAAAGCCTGTTTGGTGGTCTCTCCACATGGATGCACATGACAATAGTGAGTTTGAGCTAATATATTTATAAAGATGTATCATATGTAAGTGTGAAAAGTACTGTATTAGTCCATTTTCACACTGCTGATAAAGACATACCCAAGACTGGGCAGTTTACATAAGAAAGAGGTTTAATGGACTTACAGTTCCACCTGGATGGGGAGGCCTCACAATCATGGCAGAAGGTGAAAGGCATGTCTCACATGGTGGTAGATAAGAGAAAGAGAGCTTGTTCAGGGAAACTCCCCTTTCTAAACCATAAGATCTTCTGAGACTTATTCTCTATCACAAAAACAGTACGGGAAAGGCCTGCCTCCATGATTCAATTACACTCTACTGGGTCCCTCCCACAACACATGAGATTTCAAGATGAGATTTTGGTTGGGACACAGGCAAACCATATCATTTCACCCTGTCCCCTCCCAAATCTCATGTACTCACATTTCAAAACCAATCATGCCTTCCCAATAGTCCACCAAAGCCTTAACTCATTTTAGCATTAACTCAATAGTCCACAGTCCAATGTCTCATCTGAGACAAGGCAAGTCCCTTCTGCCTATGAGCCTATAAAATCAAAAGCAAGTTAGTTACTTCCTAGATACAATGGGTGTATAGGCATTGGGTAAATACAGCCATTCCAGATGGGAGAATTTGGCCAAAATAAAAGGACTACAGGCCCCATCCAAGTCTGAAATCCAGCAGGGCAGTCAAATCTTAAAGCTCCAAAATGATGTCCTTTGTCTCACATGAAGGTCATATTGATGCAAGAGGTGGGTTCCCATGGTCTTGGGCAGCTCCAACCCTGTGGCTTTGCAGGGTGCAGCCACCCTCTTGGCTGCTTTCACAGGCTGATGTTGAGTGTCTGTGGCTTTTCCAGGTGCATGGTGCAAGCTGTCAGCAGATCTTCCATTCTGGGATCTGGAGGACGGTGGTCCACTTTTCACAGCTCCACTAGGCGGTGCTCCAGTAGGGACTCTGTGTGGGAGCTTGAATCCCACATTTCCCTTCCCCGCTGCCCCAGCAGAGGTTTGCCATAAGGGCCCCGCCACTGCAGCAAACTTCTACCTGGACACCCAGGCATTTCTATACATCCTCTGAAATCTAGGTGGAGGTTCCCAAACCTCAACTCTTGACTTCTGTGCACTTGCAGGCTGAATACCACATGTAAGCTGCCAAGGTGAAGGGCTTGCACCCTCTGAAACCACAGCCTCAGCTGTACCTTCGCCCCTTTTAGACATGGCTAGAGTGGATGGGACACAGAGGACCAAGTCCCTAGACTGCACACAACACAGTTACTCTGGGCCCAACCCATGAAAACATTTTTCCTTCTAGGCCTCAGGGCCTGTGATGGGAGGGGCTGCCATGAAGAACTCTGACATGCCCAGGAGACATTTTCCCCATTGTCTTGGGGATTAACATTTGGCTTCTAGTTACTTATGCAAATTTCCACAGCAAGCTTGAATTTCTCCTCAGAAAATGGGATTTTTTTTTCTATCAGATTGTCCAGCTGCAAATTTTCCAACCTTTTATGTTCTGCTTCCCCTATAAAATTGAATGCCTTTAACAGCACCCAAATCACCTCTTGAATGCTTTGCTGCTTAGAAATTTCCTCCACCAGATACCCTAAATCATCTCTCTCAAGTTTAAAAATCCACAAATCTCTAGGGCAGGGGGCAAAATGCTCCCGGTCTTTTTGCTAAAACATAACCACAGTCCCCTTTGCTCAAGTTCTCAACAAGTTCCTCATCTCCATATGAGACCACCTCAGCCTGGACCTTATTGTTCATATCACTACCAGCATTTATGTCAAAGCCATTCAACAAGTCTCTAGGAAGTTGCAAACTTTCCCAAATTTTCCTGCCTTTTTCTGAGCCCCCCAAATTGTTCCAACCTCTGCTTGTTACTCAGTTCCAAAGTTGTTTCCACATTTTTGGGTATCTTTTCAGCAATGCCCCACTCTACTGGTACCAATTTACTGTATTAGTCCATTTTCATGCTGCTGATAAAGGCATACCTGGGACTGGGCAATTTACAAAAGAAAGAGGTTTAATGGACTTACAGTTCCATGTGGCTAGGGAGGGCTCTCAATTATGGCCTAAGGTGAAAGGCATATCTCACATGGTGGCAAACAAAAGGAAGAGAGCTTGTGCAGGGAAACGTCCCTTTTTAAAGCCATCAAATCTCATGAGACTTATTCACTATCACAAAAACAGCACGGAAAAGACCTGCCCCCATGATTCAATTACCTCCCACTGCGTCCCCCACATAACATGTGGGAAGTCCAGATGAGATTTGGGTGAGGACAAAGCCAAACCATATCAAATACTGAGGGTTCCAAAGGAGCTCAGAGCAAGAGAAAGAGTTGGGAATTATCTGATGCAAGTTGAGGTATGAAGAGTGTTGAGATTATATCAAGAAGGAGTATACAAGAGAAAAAAAGTTGACTGTCACAAATTGAGTTCCCAAGGAAGCAGGCTCTAAAATGAAGATTAGTGAGCATGATGATGACTATGGAATATGCTTGGGATCAACAGATTGGGCAAAGGGAGAAGTCAAGGTGAAATGCAGTCTCAATGGAAGCTTCAGCTAGCCCTACAGGATGTTCTACAGACAGTATGACCCTTTAGAGCTGTCTCAAATTGAAGTAGAGTCTGGGCTCTGTACCAATCAGCCATGGGAAGCAGCTGCCTTGGAAAGAAAGCATTCTCTTTGGATAGGTGACTCTTTCTCTCTCATCTGAGGTAACTCCTGAGACGTGCTGACAGTTTAGAGTTTTCTTCTGGCAGTACACCCAGCAGCAGGGGTATTAATTACTTCTTTCCTGTGCTCTTGGTGGTACACCACACATCCACTAGGATGAGTAAGCACAAAATATTGCAGGAAAACTATATTGAAGGATCTGAATAGGGAAGAATGAAACAGAGCAAAAGTTTCTGAAGATGTAAGAGGAATACTGAGATACAGGTGCACTTTGGAAACCAAGATTCAAGAAGGAAGAGAAATATAACAGAGGCAAAATTTGTAGAAAGTTTAAGATTAAAGAACAAGAAGAGGACATTGGGTTTAACAAAAATAAGTAATGCTTTTTAATGCTACCATGTAATAGGGGAGAAAGTAGGGGGAAAGTGGGAACCATGTTTAGCCACTAAAGATAGATGAAAGTAGAGAAATAAAGATGGAACACCAATATGCTGAGAAAAAGATAATAGGCATAATATATTCTATTCTTTCTATTAAAAAATTCACCTGCCACTAAAAATCTCCTACACTGATCTGGTTTTGTCAAACATAAAGAACTACAAATGCCAAAACCCAGAAAAAAAGATTAATCAAACTGGTTTGGCACATATATGCTCATTTCATAAAAGAAAGCCTATCCAATGGAAAAAGTCATCTTTATTCATGTAAATTTTCAGTATTGGTCCCCTTAAAACATTTCAAATTACGTTTTATTCAAGATGTTCAAGAAATGTCTTTCTAGATATACACTTAAGAGTCCTAAAATTCTCCAAGCAACTTAAGGGTACTGAATCCGATAAACTCCAAGCTATTTTCCAGATTAAGTCTTGCATAGTGTGAGTAACTTTGCCTGGTTGAAAGCTCGGTTCTATGGTATTGCATAAATAAGTACCCTTATGTAAAATTGCATATTACTTGACAGATCTATGACAGCGTATTGCTGCAAAGAGCTGAAATGTCTTCAAGAAAAATAAAAGACATAAACTTTTATTGACCAATTATTATGCTCTAGATATTTTTTCAGATGTAAACAATATGCCATTTGTCTTCACTCCAAATCTGTGAACGTGTCTTATAAATAACCTTTCTGTGTTTCAGTTTTCCAAATAACTTGCCCAATATTATACAATCTATAAGGAATGGAACTAGGATTCATCAAATGACTAAATGATTTACTGACTCTTTCATTAATTTAACTTATAAGAAATATAGCAAGGATTCATTAAATGATTGAATGATTGATTTTTTCATTAATTCAACATATATTATCAAATATCTGCTTTTTGCATTATTGAAACTCAAATCTGCTTGGTTACAAAGCCCATATTTTTAAATTTTTATTTATATGAAAATTTTATTTTTATGCATTATCATATTATAAAAACAAAATTCAAATCACTCAAGAAGACTTTCTGAGATAGTAATTCAAGTTGTACCTGAGTGGAATGACTGAAGTGGATACCACTGCTCCTCAGGGGGCAATTGTTCCATAGTATGCACATCGGTAGACACCAAGAACAGTGCCTACAACTGGTGAATAAAAAATATTGCTTTTCAAATAATTTATATATTATAAAATAGCAACTCTTTATTGAACATCATGAATAGCTTTTTCCTCTTTTTTAAATCCAGTTTTTCCATCTAAAAATCAGAAAATAAATGGTTGAATCATGGCATGTTTCAAAAAAATAAACAACTAAAGAGAAAACAGAGATATTTCTCTCATTTTCCTACATATTGGCTATAGAACTTATGTGAACAGGAAAAAAAGTATTTTATGCTAAATGTCTACATTTCGTTCTTGTTTAAACTACTGGAGAATTTATGTAAGGTCAATGGTTTCAAATTAAATCTTCTTTTACATTTACATGCTGAGTAACTGAGGTGACTTCTTATTTTAATGTCTATGTAGTAAAACTATAACTATCTATATAATTATGTTTTTTTTTTTTTTGAGACAGAGTCTCGCTCTGTCGCCTAGGCTGGAGTGCAATGACGTGATCTTGGCTAACCGCCTCCCACGTTCAAGCAATTCTCCTGCCTCAGCCTCTCAAGTAGCTGGGATTACAGGTGACTGCCACCACGGTTGGCTAATTTTTTAAATTTTCAGTAGAGATGGGGTTTCACCATGTTGGCCAGGCTGGTTTCGAACTCCTGACCTCAAGTGATCCACCCACCTTGGCCTCCCAAAGTGCTAGGATTACAAGCATGAGCCACCATGCCCAGCCTATATAATTATGCTTTTTGAGACATATAATTCTTAAGTAAATCTGAAGAATGAATTGCTGAAGGGAAATATGCTGTTTTCAAAATAGTATTTTAATATCAGTTGTTGCAGGTGGAAATGAGTTAGCAAAGTCTATACTTAATGAGCTTTAAGCAGGAAATTTTATCTCATTAAACTTGTCTGGGTATTTCTATAGGGGAAAAACATTTATAAATTAATAAAATATCTATTTTTGGACGATATTTGGTATATTATACTCTGTCATTTGCCAATGGCCTTTTCAGTTGCACCTGAACACATAGAGGTTAATTCCAATAATTTAAAATATTCTTATATAAAAAATGAATGTGTACTTCTGCATAAAACTGAATTCTTGCATGCCTGTAATCCCAGCTACTCAAGAGGCTGAGGTAGGAGAATCGCTTGAACCCAGGAGGCAGAGGTTGCAGTGAGCCGAGATCGCGCCACTGCACTCCAGCCTGAGTGACAGAGTGAGACTCCATCCCCCTGACGGAAAAAAAAAAATTCTTACAGACATTTATATGCATGTTCTTTTGGATACTATGTAAGAACTGACTAATGTCAGTCAGTGATTTAACAAATTAATAGCTTGTGCTTATGTTATCACTCTATCTTCTGATTATCTGTTTCCTTTACAAATGCTTTTTTAAAAGCAGCCATTAAAAATATTTTAGTGCTTCCTAAAGGCAAAACAGGAGTAATTAAGGCAGATATAGATTAAAGGTTAAACTTACAGACTAACAGGTGTAATTATGATCAATAAATAACTCAACATTTTTCCCCAGGGAATGAGACACATTTGCAGAAATTGAGGATAGGATGTTCTTGAATCTGCCCAATTTGATACAAGACTACCTGTCAGCAGTACTTTCCCTGGGAGACTTAGCTGATCTGACTGGTAAACCTGGTCTCCTTTCATTTTTCCATGTGCATCCTTCTCAAACCCTCTACTCATTGAAAACTGACAAGTAGAGGAGAAGCATTATGCAGCTAACAATTTAAAAATGGTTTCACTCTCCTAGTAGAAATATCTGCAAATAAAATCCATTGAATAAACAAACTTTATTTTTTTAATTTAGCATATTTAATAAATATGTAAATATTTTGCAAGGTATAGAAAATAAAACATATATTATTTCCTAGGTACAGAAAGTAAAGTGAAGTTGGTCTAAACAAGATAAAATCATTGGCACAAATAGTTTCATTAGATGAGCTTCTCACTGTTTCTTACAGATCTCTAAAGACAAGTTTTCAAAATTTACTGGCTGATTTGAAGAAATTGGAGAAAACTTTTTTGCCTGCGTGTACATATCTGTATATCTATATATATTTATTATGGCTCATCTCCAGCCTACAAGTGTATGTCTGCATTATAATTCTGAGAAATAGTCAAATGGTTCTAACGAGAAAGCTAAGGCATTGATGGTGAGACTGTTAAAATTGTGGGCCAAAAAAAAGCTAAAATATATTTAATTTTATATCATTGTTTCAATATTTTTAAGAAAAGCTTCTAAGGTTTTTTTTAGACTTTAAAATTTTTAACAGTTTAAAACACTACACTTTCAAAGATGGAAGAAATCCTTAAAATTGCCTAGTTTCTTTCTTTCTGAAATTATGCATATGGACATTCTCTGGGCTCTGTGGAAGGCTCCCAGGACAAAAGAAAGAATGATAAAGAAGGAAAGGAGGGAAAAGATTCAGGCTTGCCTCTCTGACCTTAAGATAAAGATAGGCTGTTAGGGTGGGGCAAGATGGCAGAATAGGACTCTGGCAATCATCTCCCCACAGAAAGATCAATTTTAAAACTACTCACACACAAAAATACCTCCACAAGGACTAAGAAAACCAGGTAAGAAATCACAGTACCTAGTTCTAGCACAACGATTTTTAAAAGATGCATTAAACAGGGTAAGAAGGTTAGTTTTATATAAGCCACATCACCCTTTCACAACCCCAGGGAGCACACAGCATGATGAAAGATACTATCAACATGGGGAAAAGAGAGAGAAGTGAGCATAGGACTTTGCCTTGACTCCAACACTGAACCTGTTACACTAAAACTCAGCACCATGCAGACCTCCAGAGCTCCATATTCTGGGCTGGTACCCAGGACTAAGCCTCTAGACTTGCTCTGGCATCAGTGGGACAACATAGCTCCAGGCTTCAGACTTGTGTGGTAGACTTCATCTATGCCTTGTACCAACACTACGCTGACTTCAGTGGCCCTGGGCTTCAGGCAGCCTTGAATGGCAAGTAGCCAGCCCTCTGTGGTCCTGAGCTTCTGTCATGCCCCAGCTCCACGCCCACCTGCATCTGCCCAAAGCTTCTGGCCTGCCCCAGTGTTGCACCTGTCATAGTAACAATAAGTACCTTAAAGTATTTAAGGTAAGAGTAAAGACAAAGTCAAATTCAAAATACATTAATACTTTAATGGTGATGTATAAAACATGGATATCTTTATTATGAAGGCTAAGAAACTAAACTATTAAAAAATAACTGACATAATGTGTTAAGGAATATCCACTATAAAACAATGTAATATCAAAAACTCAAAATTTAGGGGAAGGAATGGAGTAAACATATGAAAATTTTTTGTGTGTGACCAAAGTTATTAGCTTAAAGTAACCTGTTATAACTATTAGATGTTTTTTGCAAGCCACTTGGTAACCATGAAGCAACAACCTATAATAGATACACAAAAAGTAAAAGGCAAAGAATAAAAACATATCACAAGGGAAAAATCACTTAGGAAGACAGCAAGAGAGGAAGAAAGGAACAAAGGAAATTAACAAAATGGCAACAGCAAATTCTTATCTATTAACGGGTACCTGGGATGTGATTGGATCAAATTCTTCCATCAAAATACATAGATAACAGTGGCTGAATTGGCCAAAAAACAAGACACGACTACATGCTGCCTACAAAATACTAAGTTTATCTGTAAGGACACACACAGACTGAAAATGATGATATGGAAAATGATATTTCACATAAATGAAAACCAAAAGAGAACAGGAGGTGCTATACTTAGATAACATAACCTTTAAGTCAAACACTATAAAAAGAGACAAAGAAGCCATTATATAATGATAAAGGAGTCAATTCAGCAAAAGGATATAACAATATAAACATATATGTACCTAACATTGGAGCACCTATATATACATAAAGCAAATATTAATAGATCTGAAGAGAGAGATACTGTAGTACAGTAATAATAGTGGACTTAAATGCCACACTTTCAGCAATGAACAGGTCATCCAGATAGAAAATCAATAAGGAAACATCGGATATAAGCTACACTCTAAATCAAATAGGCTTAACAGACATACAGAACATTCCATGCAATAGCTACAGAATGTGCATTCTTCCCAATTGCACATGGAACGTTCTTTAGGTTACAATATATGTTAGGACATAAAACAAGTCTTAACAATTGAAGAAGATAAAAATTATATCAAGTATCTTTTCTTACTGCAATGGTATAAAACTAGAAATCAGTAACAGAAGAAACTTCAGAAAATTCACAAATACATGGAAATTAAATATGTTCATTTAATGGAAATTGGACAACATGCTTCATTGACAACCAACGGGTCAATTAAAAAATTAAAAGAAAAATTTAAAAATTTTCTTGAGATTAATAAAAATGGAAATACAACATACCAAAACCTATGGGATGCAGCAAAAGCAATCTAAGGGAGATGATTACAGCAATAAATGCCTACATCACAAAAAGAAGAAAGATCTCAAATAAAAATCTTAATGTTGTATCTCAAAAAACTAGAAAAACAAGAACAAATTAAGTCCAAAGATCACAGCAGAAATAAATGGAGACTAGAAAAAAATCTAGAAAAGATCGATGAAACTAGGAGTTGTTTTCTGAAAAGATAAACAACAATAAACGCGTAGCTAGATTAAGAACAAAGAGGCTCAAATGAATAAAATCAGAAATGAAAAAAGAGACATTACATCTGATACAATAGCAAGTAAAAGAATCACAAGAGACTACTATAAACAATTACATGACAATAAATTGAATAACCTAGAAGAAATTGATAAAATTCTTGGTGCATACATCTATCAAGACTGCATTATGAAGAAATAGGAAATTTTAATAGAATATTAAGGATATTGAATTAGTATTAAAGTCTCTCACCAAAGAAAAGCCAAGGACCTAACGGCTTCACTGTTGAATCCTTCAAACATTTGAAGTACTAATACCAATTATTCTCTGATTATTCTGAAAAAAAAAATGGAAGCAGGGGAATACTTTCAAATTATACTATGAGGCCAGTATTACCATGATATCAAAGCCAGACAAAGGCACTACCAAAGAAGAACTAGAGGCCAATAATATTGATGAACATGATACAAAAATCCTCAAATAAACACCAGAAAACTAAATTCAACAGCACATTAAAAAGATCACTCATCATGATCAAGTGGCATTCATCCCAGGGGTACAGGTATGTTTCAAAATATATAGAGCAATAAATGTGCTACATCAAATTAGTAGAATGAAGGACAATAATCATCCACAGATACAGAAAAATCATTTGAAAAAGTCAACATCCTTCCATGAGAAAACTCTCAATAAATTTTGTATAGAAGAAATGTTCCTCAATACAATAAAGGTCATATATTATAAACCCATAACTAACATCATATTCATCAGGGAAAAGTTGAAAGTTTTTTCTCTAAGATCTAGAACAAGACAAGGATGCCCCCTCTCATCACTTCTATTCAATATAGTACTGGCAGTACCTAGCCAGAGAAATTAGGCAAGAGAAAAAAATAAATGGCATCAAAATTGGAAAGGAAGTATTAATAAAATTGTCCTGGGCCGGGCACGGTGGCTCATGCCTCTAATCCCAGCACTTTGGGAAGCCGAGGCGGGTGGATCACCTGAGGTCAGTAGTTCGAGACCAGCCTGGCCAGCATGGTGAAACCCCGTCTTTTCTAAAATACAAAAAATTAGCTGGGTGTGTTGGTGGGCACCTGTAGTCCCAGCTACTTGGGAGGCTGAGGCAGGAGAATAGCTTAAAACAGGGAGCCGGAGGTTGCAGTGAGCCGAGATTGCACCATTGCACTCCAGCCTGGGTGACAGAGTAAGACTTCATCTCAAAAATAAATAAATTAATTAAATAAAAAATAAAATAATAAAATAAAATTGTCCCTGTTTACATATAATAGGATTTTAGATATAGAAAATTCTAAAGATGCCATCAAAAAACTGTTATTTTTTGTGTTTTCACATTAACAATAGCTAAAAAAGAACAAAAATAAATAAATTTAACCAAAGAGGTGAAAGACCTGTACCCTGAAAACTATAAAATTTTGATTAAAGAAATTGAAGAAGACAAAAGCAGAAGGGAAGACAGCTGTATTTATGGATTGGAAGAATTAATATTGTTAAAGTGTTCATACTGCCCAAAGTGATCTATTGATTCAGTGCATTACCTCTCAAAATACTGATGACGTTCTTCACAGAAATAGATAAAACAGTCCTGAAGTTTGTATAGACCACAAAAGACTCCAAATAGCCAAAGCAATCTTGAGCAAAAAGAACAAGCTAGTGGCATTACACTATCTGATTTTAAAACATGCTACACAGCTATGGTAACCAAAACCACATGGTACAGGTATAAAAACAGACACGTAGACCAATTGAATAGGATAGAGAGCCCAGAAATAAATCCATGCATATAAAGCAAACTGATTTTCAGAAAAAGGCATCAAGTACACACAATGGGGAAAGGACAGTCTCTTCAATAAATGGTGTAGGGAAACAATTTCCACAGGCAGAGGAATGAAACTAGACTCTTCTTTCTCACCACATATAAGAAATAACTCAAAAATTGATTAAAGACTTAAATGTAAGACCTAAAACTATGAAACTACTGGAAGAAAACTTAGGAAAAGAGCTCCATGGTACTAGTCTAGGCAAGCGTTTTTTGAATAAAATTTCAAACTCATGGGTAACAAAAACAAATACAGATAAATGAGATTACATCAAACTAAAAGCTTCTGCACAGCAAAAGAAACAATCAACAGAGTGAAGAGACAACCTACAGAATGAAATAAAATATTTGCAAACTATTTACCTTATAAGAGGATAATATCCAAAACATGTAAGAACTGAAGTAACTCAACAGTAAGAAACAAATAACACAATTGAAAAACAGGCAAAATATTCATTTCTCAAAAGAAGACATACAAGAATATTAGGTATGCAGACCAACAGTATATTAAAAAATACTCAATATCACTAATCATCAAGGAAATGCAAATTAAAATCACCAAATATCACCTCATACCTGTTAGAATGGTTATTATCAAAATGGCAAAAGATAATGAATGTTAGTAAGAATGTGGAGAAAAGGGAACCCTTGTATACGGTTGTTGGGAATGAAAATCAGTACAGCCATTATGAAATACAATATGGAAGTTCCTCAAAAATCTAAAAATAGAACTATCATATGATCCACCAATCCCATTACTGGATATATAGCTACAGAAAATGAAATCAGTATGTTGAAGAGATAGCTGCATCCCACCTTGATTGTAGCATTATTCACAACAGCCACGATATGGAATCAACTTAAGTGTCCATCAATGTATGAATGAAGAAAATACAGTATATACACACAATGGAATACTATCCAGTCATAAAAAAGAAGAAAATCCTGTCATTTACAACAAGCAAACATGACTAAATATATCCATAATAGGAGGCAGTGAATAAGACAATCAATGCAAGGGGAAAAAATGCTAAATCCTATAATAAAACCCCGAAATAAAAAAGATTCAAAATTACATATCAAAAAAGCATATTATATATGCTTTTATCCAACTTATAACAACCCAGAATGACCAACTTCAAGACATATTTTAAAATTTTTTTGAGATTAAAAAAAGGCAAGCTCTTCTGGACAACAGACTTAGAAGGAAAGAAAATTGGGTCATCACTGAATTTTTCTACAGCAACACTTTATGGCAGAAGTAAATGGATTAATACATTTAAGATAATCAAGAGTAAAAACATAGGTCAAAGATTTCATACCTAGCAAAGGGACTTTCAAGAATAAAGAGCATTCCTGCCGGTCTAGTGGTTAGGAAAAAAAGGAAGAAAAGGCAAATTTGCAAGTTATCAACATTCAAGAACTCTAGAAATATTGTTCCCATGAGGCCTTCTTGAGAAACCTACCAGAGAGCAAACTTCACAAAACCAAAATGACTAGAGAAACATTGACATAAAACTAGTGGTGAACACTAATACATAACTACTTGTAAAATTAATACTAAAAGAGAGCTAAAAATGAGAGATTATAATATTTAATATTATATGTAGATACAGGACAATGTAAGACAATTTATTTAAAAAACAGATGAGAGTGGGGAGAGCAAATTAAAAAATTGTTTTTTCTAAATAATATTGGTGGTAATAGAATTGCTATCCTGAGACAATTATGCAGGTGATGTAGGATAAAGGAAATGAGAAATTTTCAGAAATTCTAATTATATTATCCCCTGTGTCCTTGGGAACTGAGTTTCTTAATGTGAAAGAGAAGAGATACAGATGTAATATAAAACAAATTAAGTAAAACCTTTGTACTCCAAAATTTGTATAGGAAGTACCAGTGTGAGTTTACGAGGTATTTTATCTTTAATATGAACTTATTAAATATAAAATATGCATATATGTGTGTGTGTATTTTTATATATACACACATGCGCACACACACACATGCATACAAATTGCATTAGCTCTGTCCACTGAAAAAGATCAGCTCTGAAAACCTTAACTCTGTCCATCGAAAAGATCTAGAAATGATGACCAACAGAACTGCAATGAGCAAACCAAATATTATATTCCCACCAAAGAAAAAACAGATTACCATTGTGTGGTCTTTCTTGCTAAAACTATCAAACCTAAGGTAGGTTTTGGATAAAGATGACGAGTTTGACTTCGACATGCTGTGTTACACAAACGGAACAGCACAGGAATTGAAAATAAAATGAAAATAAACATTCAAGTGTTATTCAATTTGTTAAGAAAAATAGCAGAGGTCTAACTATGAGAAATCAAGAATCAAAGCACGGATAAATAATAAATATCCATCACAACATTTAGAGAAGTGAGAGATGTTTAGAAGAGGTAATAAAATAATGGGAGTCATATAAGGAGAAAGTTTAGAGAAGCAACTTCTTGAAGTATTAGTTTTCAGCCAAAGACTTAAGTGTACAAGATAGTCATCAGTTCCCTGGCCTTTTCATAGTGTAGTTGCAATAATAATTGCATCATAAAATTACAAAACACACACACAAAAGCTGGAAACTTCATTTGCACTTCAAATTTAAATCACACAGCAAAAATAAAATCTTTGCAACTGTACATTGTGCAGTTATTAACATCTTCATTTTCTAAAGGAGAAGACTGATACACAGAGATATCAAAAGACTATGGAAATCTTAGTTAATTGGTGGAAGAAGAAAATGAAGCCAGTTTGCTGCTGTTTCATTATCAATATCAGGGTCTATTTTGGGGGGATCCTGTCTCTATTCTTGAACATTCTAACTAGAATATTGAAAGACTGTCTTATGTGTGTCATTTATCACTATGTATTTATCAATATTCAGCTAAGAAGAAATTTCAAATTTATAGCTTGATTCTGTATCTTGGAAAACATCAAGGCCCTATCATAGCAAGATGGACAACAGAGGGTGCCCTTCACTTTGAGCATAAGATGCATTGACTAATCATTTCCTGAATCATTACTAAGTGATGCTTCATACAATTCTTGGCAACCGAGTCTTTTAAACTGCAACAGATGTGAAGTGGTGAGTAATATACTTCCGTATTTTTCTCCCTAAAGGCAGTTGAAATCAAATAATCATAGTCAAAGTGAAGGCAAACTCACGATAGTTAATTAAATTTCTATGCCAACGGAAAGCCTTATATAATACCTGGAGATGTTAACAAAGAAAGCTTTGCAAAATGAAATCAGAAGCTACTTGGTGTTAACTGATTTCCAGCTCAAAAGAGAGGGGGACAAGTAGTAGGAAAACTTTCATGCTGATAGTAACAACGGACTTCCAGGAAAATGTCGTTAGTAACAAACAGTGCCTTTGCTAATTGCTTTTTAGATTTTTCCACTGAGTAGAGTTATATATTCCCCATACAACTTATTAGGAAAACATTTACTTAAACCCTCCTTGACTTTTCACTGAAACAACAGTAAAGGGCATCACCTTCTAGTACTTGAGTTGAACAAAATGCTTTCAGCAAAGTCATTCTATATTTGCAGTAAACTAATTTCTCACAAAGAATGAAAGTTCCATACAGGGAAAAAGTAACAATTTTCACCACAATTTGTAAGAGATGCTTTCACAAGAAAAATGAAGCATAGAATCCACAGGTTTCAAATGAAAAACTTGTCTGAAAATAAGGTGAAGGGCTGGCAAACTTCCTGGTTTCCCCAAGAGTTTCAGGCTGAGAAGCCCATTGCAGCACGTGTACATCTCTCCTAATCCTTTTAACCCCAACCCCACACACTTACATGCAAAGCATTGGAATCCTTAAAAATCGCTAGAACTGATGACTAAGACTTGATGTTGTTCTAGGAGCTTCTTCAGAACTCCTGGTAACATTTTTCCTGTCTGGATGTGCAAACTTTATATTATTAACTACATCAAATGAAAACCATCCCCCTCCGATCCTTTTGCTTTACATTCAAAGTAAAAGAATGAATTTCTATTTTATTAATTTCAGGTTCCTTCAGATATGTAATTTAATATGCCAGTGATATAAATAATTCTCCAGAAAACAAAGCGCAGATTCTCAGGTTTTCCAAGGAGAGGATTTTCTCACTGTATCCCCCAGGCTGGAGTGCAGTGGTGCAATCTCGGCTCACTGCAACCTCTGCCTCCCAGGTTCAAGTGATTCTCCTGCCTCAGCCTCCCGAGTAGCTGGGATTACAGGTGCCTGCCACCATGTCCGGCTAATTTTTGTGTTTTTAGTAGAGACGGCTTCACCATATTGGCCAAGCTGGTCTCAAACTCCTGACTTCAGGTGATCTGCCAGCCTCGGCCTCCCAAATTACTGGGATTAGAGGCATGAGCCACTGTGCCCAGCCAGGGTTTTCTTTTTAATATCAAAAGCTTTGCAGACCCTGTTGGTGGTAACGGTTGTATTTTTATTATAAGGTGATTAAGAAATTCTAATGATGACAAGAAGTTACTAAGTATGCAGTATCATTTTGTAATGATTTATATTTTATCTACAATATCAACATCTACATATACTTGAAAAAATAACATGTTTACTCCATAATAATGAGATTTATACCCATAGGAATTTGTAAATATTATCAAATAAATAACTCTCTACCCACTGCTTTTCCTTTTCCCTCTTGAGAGCACCACTACTGTTTTCCAGAGGGCTCATTTTTGTCTTAAGATCCTTCACATGTATCCATAAAAATTAAGAATAAATGTATAAAATAAAAATTCTTCATGTGTTGAAAGAGGATTCAATACACACCCGAGTATTATGGTAAGAAGCAGTGCTGTTTTCTCACTCAGCTGGCTCCACTACGTCTCCTACAGACCTAGGCTGAGGTGAAGCAGCTGGCGCTTTATGGCTCCTCAATGTGCTACCTCTCTTACCTTCTCAATTTCAACTAATGACATGCATCTTTCCTTTACCTGTCTAAGCTAGGCACCTTGGCGAGGTCTCTTGACCCATTTAATCCAACACAAGTTATGCCTGCTACTACTGTTCCCGTTGAGCTGTTCACATTTTCACATCTGGTTAATGCTAGAGTCATTGGTCATATTACTGCCTGAGTTGTTTTTCCTAGGCACAGACTGCAGGCTATCACAGAGCCCAACTCTTACCTCACACGAGGCCTTCCCCTCTACCTTTTCCTTCCTACTTCCCACTTGAAGTCTTAACCACCTTTTGAACACTGAAGACTCAGCGAAAATGTAACTTCCACTGTCAGTTACCTCGGTTTCTCTAAAAGTGTTTTATCTTATTGAATTTACACTTAATGCCACCTAAACAAATGATTTCAAAATAATCTAACATCTCCTATCATAGTTTGCAAGCAACACAGGGCAGGGACTACATCATCATTACTGTGGTCTATTCAATAGATGTCTATTCGTGGCTGTCGCACACATCTCTATCAAAAGCTTCTAACAGCTCTCCCAGATTGTACAAACTCAAGTTCAAGAACTAGGTTTATCAGAACCCAAGTGGCCCCTAATCTCTCTCTTTATTCACATCTCTCTACCATTAGCTTCACATCTGTCTACCACTTTACTAGTAATTATCAGATATTTCAGCTACATGGCCTCATTTTCTGTCTTTCAAATGTATTTTTTTTTTACTTTCACATAATGCTGTGTTTATTCACTTAATACATTTTCCCCTGATAACCCTTTCTGGTCACTCTTCAAGTCCATCTACTAATCTTTCTAACTGTTGAAGTCTTCCTCATCTTTTATACATAATTAAAATGTTAGCACTTCTGAGGAAACATCTACATTTTATCATTGAGAATTAATGTCCTTTTTTTTTCTTGTGTCTCAGAGTGCTTCACATATGCTTCATTCATATCAGAAAACACAGTAGAGTCTATGCCTTCCTGTGGCAACAACTAAAGCCTAAAATTTCAACAATTTAACCTAACAAAGCTTATTTCTTGCTTATAGAGAATTCAGATAGGTCTGGCATCTTCCCAGGGCTGTTCTCTATGAAATGACTTCATTGGTCCACCAGGCTGCTTCCAAATTATGTCTCTGCTATGGAAACATGAGGCTTCCTTAATCACCTCAGGAGGACAGAAGAAACTGAAGACTCTGCGGGGGATTTTAATGACTCAGCTCAAAAGTGACGTGCTGAGAATCTACAGGCAAAATCAGTCACATTGCCTAGCTTAATGCAAGTGTGCCTTCAAAAAAGAGGATGACTGGGTATTGGTGAGCACTCATATTAAGTATCAGAGAAACTTACTGCATTAAATATATTTATGTATTCACTTGTCTCTTTTTGCTAAACTGTGAGGTCAAGAGAAAAGTGGTAATTTCATTTCCATACCCCAGAACTTCAGCCAGTATCATGCGCTGAGTAAGACATCAATAAGTTATTGTTAGACTAAATTGAATTAAATTACAGGTGAAATAAAGTTGTGCTTAGCTTTGAGGAGAAGAAACAAATTCTATTTCGTCACCTTCCTTAGCATGCTGTATTCACATAGTCATAAAACGGAATCTGTAAGCTTAATGGAGTAAGCAAGAATTATGAAACTAGACTTCCCAACTTCAAATTCTGGCTCTCTCACATTTAGCTGTATAGGTTTGGGAAAATTACTCAATATACATTTACCTCAGTTTCCTCAAAAGTTTGTTATAAATATTAAATGAGTAATTCATGTAAAATACTCAAACAGTATCAATATGTTAAGTACTCAACACATTACATATGATTATTCATTTACTGCATGAATAAGATACCAAAGCTTTCTAATTGCTCTTAGAGAAAACTTCAAAGTTCTTTCCACACTCTGCATGACTTGGCCCTCATCCACTGCACCAACTTCAATGAAAACTATTTCCCTCTTTCTTAGTGATGCTTCAGGCATTTGAATCTTTTTTCTGATTTTTGTTGGTTGGTTGGTCAGTTGGTTGGTTGGATTATGCCAGATTAGCTCCTACCTTCAGACTTTTCAACAGTTTCCCCAAATTATTACTGTTCCATCCCACCACCACCAGAAAACCACTGGTATGGCCTTTCTCATCATTTAGGTTTCAGACGACATTTGATCACCTCATCTAAAGTTGCCAACTACATTGACCAGTCATCCTCTAACATATCTCCTTGTATTATTATCTTCATACCATGACTTGTACCTATTAAGTTGTGAGATGAAAACTTTTTCTTGGCTGGGTGTGGTGCCTCACACCTGTAATCCCAGCACTTTGGGAGGCCAAGGCAGGCAGATCACCTGAGGTCGGGAGTTCGAGACCAGCCTGACCAACATGGAGAAACCCCCTCTCTACTAAAAATACAAAAAATTAGCTGGGCGTGGTGGCGCATGCCTGTAATCCCAGCTACTCGGGAGGCTGAGGCAGGAGAATCACTTGAACCTGGGAGGCAGAGGTTGCAGAGAGCCAAGATCACATCATTGCACTCCAGCCTGGGCAACAAGAGTGAAACTCTGTCTCAAAACAAAACAAACAAACAAAAAAACAACTTTTTCTGTCCTCCTAATATATGGCATTGCAGAGTTTAAGTCATTTGTGCAATGTTACATTGCTAGCACCAGATTAAAACTCAGTCTGGCTCCAATGCCTCTACTCTTGATCACTATGCTCCACTTCCTTGTTAAGCACTTCACCTATTTTCTCATTTAACACAAAATATTGTGATGGTTTTAAGTGCAAGTGCTAGAATAGCTAATTCAAACTGACTTAAATGACAAGCATCTGTACTATATTACATAAAGAAAGTCTTCCAGGTGGTGATGTAATCAAGGATGCAGACTGTCCATCTTTCTGCTCTGCTATACACTGTAGGTCAGTGATGCCTCCCCTCAGGGTCAGAGGACTAAAGCAATTTCAGACTTCACACTTGAGAAGAACATAGTAAGGAAAGATGGCCTTTTTGTCCATGAATATATTTTATTGGAGAAAGAACCTTTCCCAAGAGGAGTTCAGTGGTATCTCCCTGGATCCAAGTGACCAGGCCTGGGTCATATGACCCTGATCTGACTGAAGAGAGGTTGAGAAAGGAACTGATATGTGGAGGAACTGCCTCTAGAATTAGAGGCAGACTTTGACAGAACGTGGGTGTATATGTGTGTAAAAGCAAGACCAAGCATATGCAGTGTGCAGAGGGAAGTAAGCCGAGAGAGTGCTAGGATGGCAGTGGGTAAGCAATTAGCAGTGCCTCCCAGAAGCAAACATTCTATCCTTATATCACAGATGTGAAAACAGACTCCAAGAAGTTAAAAACTTGCAGAAAGTCACCTAACTGGTAAGAGGCAAAATTGGATTCAAATCTAGAGTATGGTAATAAAATGAGAACTGTAACAACCATACTATACTGACTCCACATTAACCCCTAATCTATGCCATAATGTTTGCCTTAATCCATATAATTCATTGGTGACTTATGCTTTGGTTTGTAACTTGGTATCTTCACGTTATATTCAACTTCCTTTTCTTACAAAAGCCATCTTACCCTTGACTGCTGCACACAACTTAGGTTAAATGTGTCAAAATATTATTCAATGTCAAGGTTCTCAATATTTTTGAGTTCCTAAAATTGTATCCTGTGGTGACTTAGAGAGGAACAGATACAAGAATAGCTATTTATTGAAGGCTCAACTAAGCATTGCCTGTGTAACCATGACTGACTCATCCTTGTAATTTTAAAGACAGCTACATAATATAAAACAGCATAGATGCTTAAAATAAGTTTTTATTTTTGTTTAACATGTAACCACATTATAAAGTTGTATCATGCATTTCTCAACTTAGAATTTAAGTGCATTTCCTTTCAGTCTTTTTCTTTAAATGTTATAATTAGAATTAACACTTATATTAACATTTGGTACCCTTATTTTTTACTTAGCTTTGAAACAAAATATAATTTTATGTTTACCATATAAGCTTTAAAATCATCATTTAAATATGCAATATTTCAGCATTTAGGTGCATCTTAATCATTGCCTAATGTTGAGCATTCAGTGTTTCCAATTGTTCTGCTATTATAAGCAATGTGTGACACGCGTCTCTGTGCATATTCTGAATTATTTTCTTAGACCATATTCCCAGAAGTGGAATGATTAAATCCAAGAAGATGAAAGATTTTTTTTATCAAGGAGTTTGCCAAATTGCTTTCTGAAAGTATGGGGTCAATTTACACTGTGATCAGTAATATATGGGAGCAGTAATTTCTGTGCTCTCACACTCGGTGAGAAATACATTTCTAAATCGATAACTTAAAGTGAGCCTTCATTTTGTAATATGAGAAAAAGAAAAGAGAGAAGTTGAGGGAAAAGAGTCATAGAATCTACGCACTCTGTTAGGGCTCACAGTTTAGAAGGGACAAAATAAATACAAATACATGTCAGTAAAACACTATTGCGGATAGAGAATGGACAGAGAAACTATGTAGTGAGAGAAATGTGTCCTGGCTATTGTGGAAGCTTGGAAAGTAGAACAGCACTTGAGATACCTCATTAAAGGGCAAGGAGGGGAAAGGTGGGTAGAGAGGGCACACAAATTATAGGCATAAGCAAGAGCAAAGACGTGTGTAATCAATGAGGGACATGTTGCAATTTGCAGTCTGAGGTCATAAGAGAGTCAAATGGGAGTCAAAGAATGAAAGAGAATTCTGGTAGGAGAGACAGAGTAAGATCTCGGAGGGTATTATGTGATGTAATAGCTTATATGTAATCCTGTAGATTATGGAAGAATCACTGCACAGTCTTAAGAAAAAAGTGGGCAAGTCAAACTTCTTTTTAAATCACTGTATTTCATCATGCAGTCTATAAAAGCAACATCAGCATCACCCAGGAGGCAAAGAAATGCAAATCCTCAGTCCCAAATGAGATGTACTAAGTCCAAACTCCAGGACAGCCCAGCAATTTGTATTTTAACAGCACTCCAAGTGGATCTGATGTGCAGAAAAGTTTGGGAACCACTAACTTAAATTAACATTCTGGTTGCTTTGATGGGGTAAGGCTAAATGTAAGAGGACCAGTCAGGAGGCTGCTGTGAAGATCAAGTGGAGACATGATGGGTCCTAAACTTGAGTAGGGGGATTGAAACCATTCAGGTGGACTGAGTTTACATAGGAGAAGTATGTAGATTGGGAACTTTTGGCTTAGGACAGAA
Source organism: Homo sapiens (assembly GCF_000001405.40). Lineage (NCBI taxonomy): Eukaryota > Metazoa > Chordata > Mammalia > Primates > Hominidae > Homo > Homo sapiens. The sequence continues at coordinate 98,462,238 of NC_000005.10, forward strand.
CCCTGGGGTTATATACAAATTATTAAGAAGAGGCGAGGCTAGGCACAGTGGCTCATACCTGTAATCCCAGCATTTTGGGAGGCCAAGGTGGATGAATGGCTTGCGCTCAGGAGTTCAAGACCAGCCTGGGCAACAGGGTAAAGCCGTCTCTACAAAAAATACAAAAATTAGCCAAGCACGGTGGCATGTACCTGTAGTCCCAATTATTCAGAAGGCTGAGGTGAGATCACTTAAGCCCGGGAGGCGGAGGCTGCAGTGAGCCATGTTTGTGCCACTGTACTCCAGCCTGGGTTAAAAAGCGAGATCCTGTCTCAAAATAATAATAGTAATAAATAAGATGCCAAAGAAGAAACTCTCTTTAAGAAAAGAAAAGATATAGTTAAGGAAGTGCGAGAAGGGAAAACGGTGAATATCAGGAAAGCCAAAGAGAGAGAATTTTAAGAGGATTTGAGAATCCCAAGTCAGATGAGGAACAGTACTTCAAAAACAGGAAGACAAAAGAGCATATTATATTTTGTAATCAGGGCATCATTTTTAACTTTAGAGAAAGCAGTTATAGTGCAGCATTGAAGATGGAATCCAATTAAAGGAAGATAAAGAAGAGATGCCATTTGAAAGAATGCAAGAAACTGCATAGATCCAGAGGTCAACAAATATTTTCAGAAAAGGCCGAATAGTAAATATTTTAGGATGATGGGCCTATGGTCTCTGTGGCAATTACACAACTGTGATATTGTAGAGCAAAAAGTGGCCATAGACAATATATAAATGAATGTTCATGGGTCTTCCCATGACTTTACTTATAAGAACAGGTGGCCTGCTAGTAAGTCATAAAGTGCCAACCTCTGGGTTAGACAATTGCAATAGGATTAAGGAAAGGTTTTTTTCCTTTTGTTTACTTTTGCTGTTTTTAAAATGAGAAAGTAATGTACATATTTATAAGCTAGAAAAAAGAGTCAGTAAAAATTAACTGTCAGTAAAATTAAAGAATGCACCTAGTCTTTTATTTAACAATATTTACTGTACTTATACTATGTTCCAAGCATTATTCTAGGCATTGAGACTTTGGGAATAAACAAGATAGACAAGGTCCCAAGGACATCAAAAATGACAGAATCAACAGATAACGCAAAAGATATACTAGATGATGATACGTGCCATAAAAAAGAAAGACCAATAAAATAGGGTGATGTAAAGCGAGTGCCAGCTGGGCTACTCTAGCTTTACAAACAGGAAAGACTTTTCTGAGGAAGTTGTATTTAAGCCTTGCTATGGTCTGAATGTTTGCGTTCCCTCAAAATTCATATATTGAGACTTAATCCCCAATATGGTAGTATTAAGAGGTAAAGTCTTTGGGAGGTCACAAGAGCTCTGCAACTGCCCTCATGAACAGGATTAGTGCCATTATAAAGGAGGCTGAAGGGAGATTCTTTGCCCCTTCCACCATGTGAGGATGGAGAGAAAGCACTACCTATGAGGAATGGGCCTTCACTGGACACCAAATCTGCTGGTATCTTGATCTTGGACCTCCCAGCCTCCAGAACGGTGAACAATAAATTTCTATTGTTTGTAAATTACACAGTTTAAGGCGTTTTGTAATAAGAGCCTGAACAGACTAAGACATGTCTTGACCTGAATGCCTAGAAAGTGCAGTAGAGAGACGTAGTGACTGGAAGAACAAGTCTCTAGGAGGAAGGAGTGTAGGGACCAAAGGGATGAATTCGACTTGGATGAAGGAAAACTGCTCATCTTATCAGGCAAAGAAATAGGTGGAAAGGTTGGCCATATGTTTCCTTAAGTTCATAGATGGAAAGAGCAAAAGGTTCAGAATGACTACGTTTAGATTTCATGATAAGATTACCCAACTAGAATGGTTAGAATGGAAGTTAAATTGAGAATGTAGGTAGAGTTGTGAATAATTGGTGGGGGTGGGGAATTGGTGGGGAAAGGACAAGAAAACTCACCAGAGTCAGATGGAATTAAAAGGTAGCAGTGAAAATACATCCATATTGGGCATAGCCATGAGAAATGTCTGCCTACTTGAATACTGCCAATGTCATCAGGAAGAGAGACTTGCAGCATGTTCTGCAGGGAACAAAATGTAATTCAAACACATGTGTCCCTGACCAAACCACTACATTCATGTTGTATTTGAAGATTAAATGATCTATAGTACAGATTCACAGAGATAAGCTCACTCAAGAGAGTATGTTTCACAAACTTATAGGCAAAGACTAGAAACTGTGGAAACCATTTGTATCACCTAACATGTCCTATCACAATGACTTATAAGACAGTGAAATTGAAGCCTTATATATGTTTTCAAAAATACACTGGAAGCTGCTGTGGGACACTGCAGTATGTGCCACAGGGTAGAAAGAGGTACCATCTGTCAGGGAAAAGAGTTATTTTGGAAAACCCACAAAATGTAAGAAAGGAGAGAATCAGAACAGATCCAAAGTATGGCAAATTAGATAAAGTGGGAAAACAGGCCTTAGCCAGCTGGATGGAATGTAGGGTTTTATACTCCTAACAGTTACTAGGGACTGTAAGGGTAGAAACAAGACAAAGAAATCCTAAAACTTGGTACTCAATTCCTCAGCTAAGTGGACTTCGGAAGTTGAGCATGAGATGGTTTGTAGCATCTTAGAATTTTCAGCTCCGAGAAACTCAGAGATGAGGTTTCACTTCCCCAAGTGCTATTAAATAGCTTGCAAGAAGTTGAAAAGAAAACCCCTAGGGACAAATTCTAAGGAAATGTTGAAACAATGTTTCAATGTTGGGCATACCATAAAAATAAACCAAAAATCTGATGAATTAAAATAGAGAAGGAGAATCCAAAAACTAAGTGAAAGAGAAAGTAGATATGAATTAAAAGATTTTGAGTAGAAGACAGTACAATATAGAACAGTTACTATCTGTGCCAGTGAAAGTAGAGCAACTGTGACTTTTTCTAGAAGCCCGAAGTCTTAATGTAATCAGGAACATGGCCCTAAGAGTACATATCTAGATCTAGGAAACATATCAGCCTCTGGCATGGCAGATTGATAGACAAGCCAGAATCACTGAACAAGACTTGATATTTTTACTCCTAGGGATAAGTAGGCCAAAGTTTATTTTCAAACTCAGGCAGGGCATTGGACAAGGGTTGTCTCTAGACTATTTTCAAAGTTCCTCCATGTTCCTAGCATGAGATTGGTCATCCTGCTACAAAGAATGGGAATAGGGCTGGGATAAGGTAGTGCATTACAGTCAACCACCATTATTACATATTAAGACAGAATTCCTGATTTTAGGTAAGAATTTATATTTCTCCTATAATTTTCTACTGTTCCATGGATATTTCCTGCCTATTCTAGGACACAGGTGATACAGCAAATTTCAATGATGTATCAAAAAGACACAACACAAAAACAGATACAGTGTTGATGCAATATATCAGTGCATGTCAAAATATGTTCAATGGAATATTAGTGAATGTGATGAACAAAAAGGATTTTATGATTAAAAAGCATGAGAAACACCCAGTTCAATGAAGTAAATATATTCTATATTACCGTACTTCTCAGAGGTATTGATATCATAAATTGATTGTAGCTTTCCAAAGGAAGTATATAGAATAGAGTACTTATCAATGTTATCTGACCATGGAACACATTTTGAAAGTACATTTAGTGAGACTTGTTTTCTATAGCACGCTTTATAAAATCTTTTACAGTTAAGAAAAAAATGATGCGAGAAGGATAGTACAATTTCATCTTCTACTGTACAGCACCAATGTACTGCCCATTCAACATAAAAAAAAAAAATCCTGGAGAGAATCTACAGGTGAAAACACAGAGATATATACAAGATGTCCAGAAGAGCCTTGTTTATAACAGCCCTATCTAAAAGTCCACCAACAGGAAAATAGACAAATAAGTTTTTATATATTTACGCAAAGAAAAATAATACAACTATAAAAATAAAATAAAAAACATTTCATACAGCAACACAGGTGATAAAATTATTTTTAAAGAGGAAAGTATTATGGTTATATTTGTCTCCTCCAAAATTCATGAATATTTGTCCCCTCAAAAACTCATAATTAAACTTAATTCCCAAAGTGGCAGAAGTGAGAGATGGGGCCTTAAAGAGGTAATTGTGGCCAGGCGGTGGCTCAGGCCTGTAATCCTAGCATTTTGGGAGGCTGAGGCTTGCAGACTGCCTGAGCTCAGGATTTCAAGACCAGCCAGGACAACATGGGGAAACTCCACCTCTACTAAAACTACAAAAAATTAGCGGGCTGTGGTGGTGGGTGCCTGTAGTCCCAGTTACTTGGGAGGCTGAGGCATGAGAATCCCTTGAACATGGGAGGTGGAGGTTGCAGTGAGCCAAAATCACTCCACTGCCCTCCAGCCTGAGTGACAGAGTGAGACTCTGTATCCAAAAAAAAAAAAAAGAGGTAATTGTGTCACGAGGACTCTGCTTTCATGAATGAACTAATCCGTTCGTGGATTAACGAGTAATCAGAGAAGTGGGACTGGTGGCTTTTTAAGAAAAGGAAGAGACCAAAGTTACCATGCTCAGACCCCTTGCCATGAGATGCCCTGCACTACCTCATGACTCTGCAGGGTCCCCACCAGCAAGATGACCTTCACTAAATGCAGTCCCTCAATTCGACTTCTCAGCCTCCATAACGTTAAGAAAAATAGTTTTCTCAAAGATAAAGAGGGCATTATACAATGATAAAGAGTTCAACACAACAAGATTTAACCATCCTAGATATATATGCACCCAACATCAGAGCATTCAGATTTATAAGACAAATACTACTAGACCTATAAAAAGAGATAGACAGCCATACAATAATAGTTGAGGACTTCAACATCAACACTTCACTGACAGCACTAGACAGATGATTGAGTTAGAAAACTAACAAACAAACTCTAGATTTAAGTTGGACTCTTGACCTAAGTTGGACTCTTGACCAAATGGACCTAGTAGACATCTATAGAACACTCCACCCGACAACTGCAAAATACACATTTTTCTCATCTGCACATGGAACATTCTCTAAAATTGGCCATCTGCTTGGTTGTAAAGAAAGTCTGAATAAATTCAAAGAAATCAAAACTACATCAAACATCTTCTCAGATCACAGTGGAATAAAATTAGAAATCGATACCAAGAAGAACTCCAAAAATCACACAAGTACATAGAAACTAAACAATTTGCCCCTGGCTGACTTTTGGGTAAACAAAAAACTAAGACAGAAGTAAAAAAAATACAATTGAAACAAATGAAAATAGAGACACAACATACATACCAAAAGCTCTGGGATACAGTAAATGCAGTGTTAAGAGGAAAGTTTATAGCACTAAATGCCTACATAAAAAAACATCTCAAATTAAGAACCTAATATCACACCTAAAGGAACTAGAAAAACAAGTACAAATGAAACCCCAAGCTACCAACAAAAAAGAAATAACAAAGATCAGAACAGAACTAAATGAAATTGAGACCAAAAGAAATCATACAAAGGATTAATGAAATGAAAGTTGGTTCTTTCTTTGAAAGGATAAATAAAATTGACAGACCATTAACTATAATAACCAACAAAAAAGAGAGAATATTCAAACACAATCAGAAATGACAAAGGTGACATTATAACTTATACCACAGAAATACGAAAGATCCTCAGAGACAACTGTGAACATCTCTATGTACACAAACCAAAAAACCTAGAGAAAATGGATAAATTCTCAGAAATGTACAACCTCCGAAGATTGGACCAGGAAGAAGTTGAGATCCTGAATAGCCCAAGAGCAAATTATAAAATTGAATAAGTAATGAAAAATCTACCAAACAAAAGAGCCCTAGACCAGATGGATTTACAGCCAAATCTTCCCAGACATACAAAGAGCTGGTATCGATTTAATGGAAACTATTCCCAAAAAATCAAGGAGGGATTCCTCCCTAACTCATTCTACAAAACAGTTATCAACAAAATCTGGTAATGATACAACAAAAAAAGAAAACTACAGCCCAATATCCCTGATGAACATAGACACAAACATCTTCAACAAATACCATCAAAGTGAATCCAACAGCATATCAAAAATAGAATTCATCATGACCAAGTGAGCTTTATTCCTGGAATGCATGGATGATTCAGCAGACACGAATCAGTAAGTATGATTCACCACATAAACAGAATTAAAAACAAAAACCGTATGATCATCTCAACGTACACAGAAAAAGCCTTCAATAAAATCCACATCCTTTCATGATAAAAACCTTCAACAAACTAGGCATCAAAGGAACACACCCCAAAATAATAATTATTATTTTGACAAACTCACAGTGAACATCATATTGAACAGGCTAAAGTTGAAAGTATTTCTCCTAAAAACTGGAGCGAGATAAGGATGTCCACTTTCACCACTCTAATTCAATACAGTACTGGAAGCCCTAGCCAGGGCAATCAGGCAAGACAAAAATAAATAAATAAAAGGCATCCTAATGAGAAATGAAGGAGTCAAATTGTATGCCACATGGTCCTATACCTAGAGGACCCTAAAGATCCTCTAAAACACCTCTAGACCTGATAAACAACATCAGTAAAATTTCAGAACACAAAATTAATACTGAAAAACCAGTTGCTTTTCTATACACCAACAATGCTCAAGCTGAAAACCAAATCAAGAATTCAATCCAATTTACAAATACTGCGTCCAGAATTGGTTCCTTCTGGTGGGTTCTTGATCTCGCTGAATTCAAGAATGAAGCCGCAGACCCTCGAGGTGAGTGTTACAGTTCTTAAAGATGGTGTGTCCGGAGTTTGTTCCTTCAGATGTTCAGATGTGTCCAGAGTTTCTTCCTTCCAGTGGGCTCGTGGTCTCACTTGACTCCAGGAGTGAAGCCACAGACCTTCGCAGTGAGTGTTACAGCTCTTAAAGGTGGCACCTCTGGAGTTGTTTGTTTCTCCTGGTGGGTTTGTTGCCTCCCTGGCTTCAGAAGTGAAGCTGCACACCTTCGTGGTTAGTGTTACAGCTCATAAAGGTAGTGCGGACCCAAAGACTGAGTAGCAACAAGATTTATTGCAAAAAGCAAAACAACAAAGCTTCACAACGTGGAAGCAGACCCAGGCGAGTTGCCACTGCCTGCTTTTATTCCCTTATTTAGCCCCACCCACATCCTGCTGATTGGTCCATTTTGACAGAGTGCTGACTGGTGCATTTACAAACCTTTAGCTAGACACAGAGCACTGATTGGTGCATTTACAATCCTTTAGCTAGACAGAAAAGTTCTCCAAGTCCCCACCTGGCCCAGAAGCCCAGCCAGCTTCAGCTCTCAGTACCACACACATAAAAGAAATACTTATGAATACATTTAATCGAAGAGGTGAAAGGTCTCTGAAAAAGAACTATAAAACATTGATGAAAGAAACTGTAGATGACACAAACAAATGGGAAAAGGTCCCATGCTCGTGGACAGGAATATTCTTAATATTCTCTTTTTTTTTTTTTTCTTGAGATGGAGTCTCGCTCTGTCACCCAGGCTGGAGTGCAGTGGTGTGATCTCAGCTCACTGCAACCTCCGCCTCCCAGGTTCAAGCAATTCTCCTGCCTCTGCCTCCCAAGTAGCTGGGACTACAGAAATGCGCCACCAAGCCAGGCTAATTTTTTTGTATTTTTAGTAGAGACGGGGTTTCACCATGTTGGTCAGGCTCGTCTTGAACCCCTGACCTCAAATGATCTGCCGGCTTTAGCCCCGCAAAGTGCTGGGATTACAAGCGTGAGCCACCGTGCCCAGTCTCAATATTCTTAAAATGACTATATGGCCCAAAGCAATCTACAGATTCAACACAATACCTGTCAGATTACCAACACTGTTTATCATAGCATTAGAATAAAAATATCTAAAATTTATACCAAACCAAAAAGAGCATGAATAGTCAAAGCAATCCTAAGCAAAAAGGAGAAAGCCAGAGGCAACATATCACCCAACTTCAAACTATAGTAACCAAAACAGCATGGTACTGGTACAAAAATAGACATATAGATCAATGAAACAGAATAGAGAACACAGAAATAAAGCCACATACCTACCATCAACTGATTTTCAGCAAAGTTGACAAAAATTGACAATGTGGAAAGGATTAAATAAATGGTGTTGGGAAAACTAGATAGCAATATCCAGAAGAAAGGATTCCTCTTGAGGAATCTCAAATCAATCCGAGTTAATTTTTGGATATAGAGGGAGGTATGGGACCATATACAAAAAAATGAACTCGAGATAGATTAAAGATTTAAATGTAAGACCTGAAACTGCAAAAATCCTACAGGAAAACCTGGAAATGATTCTTCTGAACATTGTCCTTGAATTTATGACTAAAACCTCAAAAGCAAATGCAATGAAAACAAAAATAGATAAATGGAACTTAATTAAGGAGCTTAGTAAACAATCAACAGAGTAAACAGACAACCTACAGAGTGGAAGAAAATATTTTCAAATTATGCATCTAACAAAGGACTAATATTCAGAATCTACAAGGAATTTAACAAATTAACAAGAATAAAACAGCCCCGTTGAAAAGCAGGCAAATGACATGAACAGACACCGCTCCAAAGAAGACAGACAAGTAGCCAAAAAAATATAAAAAAATGCTCAACATCATTCATCATCAGAGAAATGCAAGTTAAAACCACAATGAGATACCATCTCACACCAGCCAGAATGGCTATTAATAAAAAGTCAAAAAATGACAGATGTTGGCAAGTATGCAGAGTAAATGGAACACTTATATACTGTTGGTGGAAATGCATATTAGTTCAATCCCTATGGAAAACAGTATGGAGATTTCTCAAAGAACTAAAAATAGAACTACCATTCAACCCAGCAGTCCCACTACTGGGTATCTACCCAAAGGAAAGGAAATCATTTTATCAAAAAGACACCTGCACTTGTATGTTATTGCAGCACTATTCACAATAGCAAAGTCATGGAATCGATCTAAGTGTCTGTCAACAATGGACTGGATAAAGAAAATGTGATACATATATACACCATGAAATGTTACACAGCCATAAAAAAGAATAAAATCTTGTCCTTCACACCAACATGGATGTAGCAAGAGGCCAGTATCCTACATGAAATAACTCAGAAACAGAAAATCAAACACCACATGTATTCACTTATAAGTAGGAGCTAGTCAATGGGTATATATGGACATAAAGATGGAAATGATAGACACTTTCAACTTAAATGTAGGAAGGGTGGGAGAGGGAGAAAGGGTTGAAAAACTACCTATTGGCTATTATGTTCACTATTTGGGTGATGGGTTCACTGCAAGCCCAAACTCCAGTATTACACAATATATCAATATATATTGATATATGATATCGATATACCATATATCAATATATCGATACATCAAATATATGTATTGATATATCAGTATATCAAATATACTATGTAATAAACCTTCAATGTACCCCTAAATCTATAATTTTTTAACAGAAGAGTTTTAGTTGCTCCAAATATATACCAAAATGCTTTAAGAGTCTAAACTCTTCAAGTTGTACAATTTAAATATATTCAGTTATTGTGTTTTGATTATACCTTAATAAAAGCTACCAAAATCATAACTGAAAAAAATTTTTCTTTATAAATTACTGTTTCAGGTATTCTGTTATAAGCAACAGAAAGCAAACTATAACACAAGGGAATGGCAAACACAAAATTTAGGGTGAGTGGGGGAGGCAAGTGGATTGAATAGGGAGGAAACACAGATAGAGCCAACAGTGTGGATAAGTTCTAACTCTTAACTTGGGAATTCTCTAGGGGTGTTCATTTGATTATGTTTCATAGTACACATATTTGCTGTGGTTTTCTTTAATGTCTATCAAGTATCATGTAATGAAATGTAATCTCCAAAAACTAATTGTTGCCTGGCGCATAATAGGCACTCAATAAATATTTGTTTAATCACCAAAATTATTAAGCCCAGTAGGGTACCAAGGCAATAGAGCTCCCTCATTGACATTAAGGTGGTTAATGTTGACGAATGTCCAGAGAGATATTAAGAACATAGACACCTGTGCCCAAGCCTGGAGGGTGGAAGCACCTACAAATTATTGAGAATGAAAGTTGTGCCACTGCCCAGAAACAGAGGACCCAGAGATGGACCTAGGATTATTTACATGAAATAAGAAAAGTAGTATTTCACACATACCTGTATTCATAGGCCAATAATCATATTTAGTACATGTTTTTCAAAATAGTCAACTACTATAGAGCAATCCAACACCCAGTGATGTAAGGTATTGAATTTGACAATCAATCCCAATATTTGTGTACTTTCTGGAATGTCAACTTGGGCATCATGATGTTACATAATATAAATTACTGTTTGAATCACTGAACCTCTTCTGCTTTTTGTAAGATGAAGGTGAGTTCCACTGCAAATTGCTGTATGAGACTGAGACTCCAGCTCTTCACTGAAAAAATAGAAACCACAACAGAACTAAATCACAAAGTATAAAAGTTTTTGTTGCTATTGCAAGCATCAACACCTCCAAAAATATCTTTATTATTTATTAAGTGGTGACCCTCAGTATCAGCGTTCCCAAAAGCAATGGTTCTCAACATGTGGCTCCCTAGTCCAATAGTGTCAGTGTCACCTGGGAAACTGTCAGAAATGCAAATTTCTAGGTTTAATCCCAGACCTACTGAATCTGAAAACCTGGTATTGTAGCCTAAGAATCTGAGTTTTATCAAGCTCTCTAGATCTCAGACATTCATAAAGTTTCAGTACTGCTGCTTAGAATAATAGAGAAATCCTCACCAAAAAAGTAATCCTTTGCTGATGAAAAGATTATTTTAGCCAAGGCGTCTCTGTGGTTCATATATGTTTTTATCTTTCTTAAGTTTCTTAACTTAATTAAAAAAGAGTAGTTCAGAAGGGCTTTTCCTCCAATGATGATCCTTAAAGTCTTAGCTATCCTTACCTGTTTTATTAACCAAACACAATAGTGCCAGACACATAAGCTTCTCAGGAACCACTGAGAAGTATTGTTCAGATCAGGGTAAGATAGAATTTTGAAACTTGAATTTAACAGTAAATCAAGTGCTTGCACAATTTTCCCAGCGTCTCAGAGCTCTTTTGCATGCAGGGGAAAAGAGCTTGTTGTATTTCCTGCAGGAGGCTGGTATGAGTGTCAATTTTTTTAATTGTTAATGTTCAGGGTGAGCAATCTGTGAGAGCCCTCGGGTGCTTTGGGAATGAAGATGAGATACAACACAACATGGTGCAGCTTCTTCTAAAAACTATTAAAGATTATTTATCCTAAGCAAATATGGGCTCTTGGGTTTTTTCCATGTGCAGAAGAAATCATTCTCTCAGGAGCCTGGCTTTGCAGAATAATTTATATAGAAAATCATGAATCCCCTGGGGAAAGCATACAAATCACCTACAATAGAGGGAGAATATGGATAAAAATTCTTGCCAAGAAAGATGGTTTCCAGGGATCTACAAACAAGGACTCTTAGAATATCTAAAAAACTAGCTTCAGTTTTAAAATATCTCAGAAGTTCTAAAACAAAGATATTAGAAAGAAACATGGGATTTGCAAATATTTTTGAAGTAGCAAGAATAGTCAGAATGATGAACAGAATCTAAACAAGTGATTCGACAGTTAATTATGTATTACTTTAAGACATCTCCAAAGCCTTAAAAAGCTTATTGTTCCTGAATGTATTATTCAGTGTTAATATGCGCTTGTGCTGCTTTGTTTTCCCACCAAACTGATAAGCAAATACAACAGTGTCTTATAGAAATGGTCTTTACTTTCCATCATGAGACATTCATAAAAAGGCTATAATCCAGTGGATCTTTGCAAATCAAGTTATATGATTCTATACCTAAAATGCTATAACTGAGGGATAAGTTCCCATAACATCTCAACATCCAATGTATCACAAGCTAGAGTTGAAGAATAGATTCTACAACTTGCTTCCAAAAAGACATATCCTCTGTCTCTCTCCTCCACGACAGCTTTAAAAACTGTCCACCTTTCTCACTATATTCCACATTGTAGTGGCTCAATTCCAAGACCAAGTATCCCTAGAGAACCAGCAGAAGCTGTATCAGTTTTTATGGCCTAACCTCAGAAGTTATAAAACACCACTTCCGCCACAGTCAAAAGTCCATCAGGATTCAAAAGAAGGGAAAATAGGACCCACCTCTTGATGGGAGAAGTGTCAAAGTCTCACCAAAGGAACATAAGAGGTAAGTGATATTGTCATGACTATGTTTGGAAAATATAATCTGCCACAGATTGAACACACATCTAATCTTGGTCCCTCCTGAAATTTCACTAAGACAATATTAAATTGATTTCTTTCCCAAAGCGTAAACCCCCAAACACAGGGAGAAGGAAAGAAGAAGCAACAATGAAAGTTTAGAAGCTGGAAAGCAGATGTTCAACTGGCAAAGGACTTAACAGACCCCAGAAAACTGAATCTCATACTAACAACAAGGAAAGCTGAAAACTCATTGGATTTATAATACAGAATCCTCCAAAGACTAAGCATATGGTAGCATTAGATATCATTATAAGTGTGAGAAGGAAAGAGCTAAAACAATGAGGATTTTTAAAAGCAATCGAATCCATCAGAGGCCTCCTCAGATTTAGGCAGCCAAACGACTGCACGTCTCCCATGATTGCACAATACTGGAGGCATGTTCTCTTTAAGCAATAAAACAGGGAGGGCTTTGAACTACAGAGTCAAGGGCAGAGGTAACATGGTGAAAAGAGGGGGATTAAGTATGTCCACTGCTGACTAAGACCTCCAGCTGTCCTTCCTTAGTTGGCTTCCAAAAAAGTAGCAGCTAGGCCTTCACTCTCCAGGCAGAGGACTGGAAACATCATCTCTGAGAAAACTTAGCACTTCAAGATAATGTATTTAAAGGTCACAAGACTAAAAGGCTCCACTGCATCATCCTAATGTGATGTTCTGAGATGATAAGACCCACTCATGCCTCAGAGTTTCCAATCAACTTTCTTGGCCCTCCAGAATTACAAGATATCTGAGGAAAGCCTGAAACATGAAAGGTAAGAAAAATTGGAAAAGCAACATGAAGAAAATAGACCATGCAAAGAAGAGAGAAGTTTTCTAATGTGTATATTATTAATACTCATTGAAACAAAAGAAAAGATACAACTGTGGGGAGAAAAACAGGATGTTATGCTAAAAGGAACATTCGGAGAACCAAAAGAGCTCCCAAGTAGCAAAAATATGATAAAAAATAACACTAAAATCTCCTCCTCCTCCCCAACCTCCCCACAAAAAAAAAAAAAAAAAAAAAACCTGATAGTACAAAGTGTTAAAAAGATGGCATGACTTCCAGGTCACTTGACTCCGAAGGACATAATGTACATGAGCTGGTAAACTGACAAATACAGATTTAATGAAATTGTTTCAAATTATAAACATAACAACTAGTAGAAATAAAAACCTTCTTAGAAATCATCCTCAGAGGCAAGAATACAAAGAAAACATTGATTTCATGTAACAGCAAACAAGAAGAGTAGCAAAAATAATTTTAAATTTTAAAAAAATGAAAGTAACAAGAAAAATGAAAAGATCAATCCAGAAGGTCCAGTTTTAAATAGTATTCCATAAATGGAAAACTGAAAAAGAAGGGAAGAAAATTACAAATAAAATAGTTCAAAAACAATTTTCAAAATTGAAGGACCTTAAGATTCCAAGATGAAAGAAACATTAAATGTCTGATGTAATGGAGACAAATAGACCTGTATCTGAGCACATCATTTCGATACTTCAGAATACTGAGGACTAAGAGAAGATTCAACAAGCTTTCAGAAAGAAAAAGAAATAGTTCTCCTAAAAAGGAACAGGAATCAAAATGGCTTCAGACTCTTCTCAGCAGCAACTTCAGAAACTGGGAGCATCAAAAGCTAAGAAAGAAATGACTTCAGATTTCTGATGGAAAATGAATTCTATACCAAGGCAAATTCTCAATAAGGTCTAAAAAAGTTAAAGACGTTTTCACATGAGGCAGTCTCCAAAGTTTTACCCCCATCCATCCTTTCTCAAGGAGTGCCTAGAGGCTCTGCTCCACCAAAACACATTTTAAAATGCACAGGAAATAGGGAAGAACACAAGAAAGAAAGAATGAGTCCCTAGGATGATGGGGACAGAAGATCCCAGAATGACAGCTGAGTCACCAGACATAGAGGGTGACCAGGCCAGAATGGAGCAGGTCAGAGGGTTCAGGAAATACTTCTTCTGGAATACTAAATTAATAGAATATTTGATGCACAGAAGTTTGTGGTTGAAAAGGTAATGTGTTCATAAAAACTAAGCAAAACCAGACAGCTTTTCACTTTGTAGAAAACTTAAACATTGTACCAGAGAAGAAAAGTGATGGAGTTCACTAAATAAGTCAGCTGTGAGAAGTGTTTACATAGTCATAACAATAATGTAAACAGTCAGTATTTATCTAATCAAAATTACCACATAACTTTAGTGGGAAGGTGGAGAGATGGGATGGCTGAGCCTATTTGTCAGAGGTGCAGGGAACAATGAGGTGAGCAAAAACCACCTTTTCGATAGTGGGAAGTCAACAGATTATACCTGACACTGAAAACTCAGAGATAATACTACAACTATAACACTCAGCAACAGAGAGACAAGTAACAAAATAATTAGCTGGAAGTGGTTTCCTCTAGGGAGAGTAGTAAAGAGGTGTCTTTCATAAGAACCTTTGTAAAAGTTTTGACTTTTTAGTCAAATAAAGAAATACACGGGGGAAATAAACCTTTGTAAAAGTTTTGACTTTTTAGTCAAATAAAGAAATACACGGGGGAAATAAACCTTTGTAAAAGTTTTGACTTTTTAGTCAAATAAAGAAAAATACGGGGGAAAATGAAAGAGCATCATTCAAACAGGAATATCTACATCAGCTTATTGGGAAATATAAGAATTAAGGCACATTTTTGAGGTGGTTTAACCATGCCAGTGATAAATTACAAACATCGGAATTTTGCTTCCCAATTTCTCTGCTATCAGGACCTAATAGAAATCAAAGGCACTATTTAAATTTTCAACTGTTTTCAAGTCAGTTTCACTATTGTAACTTACTAATTCTCATAGCATTCTGAATAGATAAAACATTCATTGGCAAGCTCTTGAGACTGAAAATGTGCATTTGAGGCAACCATGTCCTTAAAAGCAGCCATTTACAATGGATTAGAAGAGTGCATGTCTTATGATTTTTATTATCTAATTGTAAAGTTATTTATAAGGTCTAAACCATCCTTTGAGAATAATGATAATACACTTGAAAATAACACTTCTGGATCATTTCTTTGAGGTTTTATGTATTTCCTTAACTCTTAAAAGGTTTTTGCTCACCTCTTTGCTCCCTGCACCTGACAAATAGGCTCAGCCTTTCCATCACATTTTTCCCATTTCATTTTTCCCCGTGTTTCACTTTAAGACTAATTGTAGACACACTTTGCTGAAAAACCATAAAATTCTGCTTCAACATACTTAGAGTTAACTAGTTTTTAGCATGCTAAGTCATGCATAATATTTAATGACCATCAAATTTTAGAAATAATTTTTCCAGATAATAATCAGCTAAATGTTGGATTATATTTGAATATGAAGGTTTGAGGCTTGACTCTTTTCATTTTGATCAATGATTAAGGGTTTAAAGCAAATTTTCTTGATCTTCTTAGTATTATCCTTATGATTCTGTCTTATAAAAAAAAGCTCCTCGAATATTGCTTTTAGATTTTTCTTAACATAGTAAATTTTTTACACCAAGTGTTTTTATTTTCCTCACCAGAGGACACACAAAAAATCTGTTCATCATACAGTGAAGAAATATTTAAACATTAATAAACATTATGTATGCTTTTTGCAGATCAAATGCTTCCAAAATAAATTCCATTGTAATGAAAATCCACATTAAAAATAAGAAAATTTCTAAGCTACTAGTTGAAATTAATTTTTGTTAGTATTTGACATAAAATTAAAATCCAAATTAAGAAATTGGTCAAACTCCTACAGTCCATAATAATATGATTTGGCCATAAAAGTAGAACATCAGAATTTGCTTACATTTCCCTTTAAATTAATAATGGACACAAAACCCATATACACTCAAGATACCCAAAGTAATGAATGTTGTAAAGGAAAAGAGTATAACATAAACTGTCATTCATCACAGCTTCAAACAAACAAAAAGCCACCTTTTATGGAGTTACTTGGCACACATTTATAATTCACACTAAATAAAATTACTCTTACTAAATTATCTTGATACCCTATTTCTATATATAATGGCATTCTGGTTGGGTTCAGTTCAGTATACCTCATTTCTCTTGTAAACTGTTCATTTCATGCCTATGGGCATAGCCTCCTTGCTTGCAGCCCACTTGATCCATTCATTTTGATTATCTTACCAAAGGTACAGAAACAATAAAAATTTTTAAAAAAATTATTATTAACTGCAAAATAGGCTGGGCACAGTGGCTCACGCCTGTAATCCCAGCACTTTGGGAGTCCCAGGTGGTTGGATCATGAGGTCAGGAGTTCAAGACCAGCCTGGTCAAGATGATGAAACCCTATCCCTACTGAAAATACAAAAAAAAATTGCTGGGCCTGGTGGCAGGTGCCTGTAATCCCAGATACTTGGGAGGCTGAGGCAGAGAATTGCTTGAACCTGGGAGGCGGAGGTTGCAGTGAGCCGAGATCATACCACTGCACTTCAGCCTGGGTGACAGAGGGAGACTCTGTCTCAAAAAAAAAAAAAGAAAAAATAATAATACTAATAATAAATGAAAAATATAAATGAGCCAAATGAATGAATAAAAACCTGTTTTTTCCAAATCTGGTTTACCTAACAGAGATTAAGCACCTCTTATGTCAAATAAATGTCATCCTCATTTTCCAAAAGCAACTTTAATGTGCCTACCATCCTGGATTATGCATTTCTAAACAACACAGAATCTGGAAACCTGCTTTAGGTAGATAGATCATAAAAATGAATATCAATTCATTCCCTGCTAAATCTAATCTGCCCATTGTTGCTGAGATCCTTAACTTTTCTTGCTTTTTTCATGACAGATTTAGGTGAAAGATAATGCAAAGCCACATAAAATATTTCACCACATTAAACTTAACTCCCTAAGCATACCAGGAACTCTTGCATTTCCTAGAACTAAAAACCATTACCTTACACTTCATGTGATTTATTTTGAGATTATATTTTGTGCACTGCTCAAAGAAAGCATTCAGCTGCTTCTGAAGGCCAATTGGGGTTTGAGAGATTAATGAATACTGAATCTTTAGTCTTGAAAAAGGAACAGTCATGCAGATGTTAAAAACATTTTGGGCATGAAAACTATGCCAAAAGTCTCAGTGATATCACATAAATGGATGCTAAATAATGAAAGGCCATCACCCCATCATCTTCTCTTCTGAAGGATTTGATCATAATCCAGCATGTATCCTTCAACCTGTAAATTATTAATTATAGCTAAAAGGAGATTTGGGAAATTTCATAGTGACTCATAGTCACTACTGATATTTGATATTTGCATAAATAAACCCCTGGATGTTTAAATGTCATTTTGTCCTTATAAAGCAGGAGATGGAATTTTTTATCCAAATCACCCTATTCCAGGACACCAGGCAAAGGCTGAATTGTGCCGAAATCTGGTTAATGTAAGGGAAATGAGAGAAAAGCAGTAACTGCATGAGCAAACATACACAGAAAGAGACTTTGACAAGTTAGATCTAAAAATGGATAGGGAAAAATATAGGGATGGGAAATGGGAGCAAAATAGAAAAAAACACTGCAAATTATGGTATAATTCATTAGAAGGTCTAGACATACTCATTACTTATTTCTATCCATTTCTTTTCCAGAGGCATGTCTCTGTTTAAAGATAGCTGATGTGCTGGCAATAGTATGCAGATTACACGTTAAGTAAAAAGAAAAAAAGAAAGAAACAATTTCAAAATCATTTAGTTGATCGTGTAAATCATTGTGTGTGTGTGTGTGCGCGTGCACACGCACATCAATGCACTTGTGTATATACATGTATGCACAGGTATACAGATTCACCATCCAGAACAAAATGTGAGGTGTCTTCTGTACTACACATATATACAAATAACTAGCCCCATGGTGAGATACGTAACCATGGACAGATGCTTGGATGTATTAGTCCATTTTCACACTGTTGATAAAGACATACCTGAGACTGGGCAATTTACAAAAGAAAGAGCTTTAAAGGACTAACAGTTCCACATGGCTGGGGCGGCCTCACAATCATGGTGGAAGGCAAGGAGGAGCAAGTCATGTCTTATATCTATGACAGCAGGCAAAGAGACAGAATTTATGCAGGGGAACCCTTCTTTTAAAAAATGATCAAATCTCATGAGACTTATTCACTATTGCAAGAACAACATAAGAAAGACCCACCTCCATGATTCAATACCTCCCACTGGGTCCCTCCCAAGACACGTGGGAATTGTGGGAGTTATAATTCAAGATGAGATTTGGGGGAGGACACAGCCAAACCATATCATAGGGAGAATTAACCATGCCCAGAAGATTTGAATATCTACATTTACAAGCTGCCTATCTTAAGTCCAAAAACTGAAAGAAGAAAATATATTTAGAAATAGTTTATCCATGTGAATTAGTTATCCAGCTTCATATTGCAGACATGCAGAAGTACTTAAACTATGTTTTATTTTTTATTTTCTTTCTCATTATTCATTGAAGCTGTTTTTAATTTCTAGCAAGATCTAAATTAGGTTTATTTTAACTGTGAAGTATCTAGTAGTTACAGTGTAAAGCTTTCACTGTATATTGAAGCCTAAGCATTTAATAATATGTCATCATTCCTAGTTATTTCATCAGAAATCAATCGTAGTCTATATTTCAGAATAAAATTTACATTTGAAAGGTCTATAACTTCTCAGATTTCTGAAACTTTCCCCAAGTGGAATTTTGTAAAAAGACTTCTCCTTCTCACTAATTTTATTCAATTTTTGAATCAGAAATGTTCTTAATATTATAAATATTTTTGAAAGTGTTTTGACTGATTTGTGTTAAGATTTAGAGATGGAATATTACACTTAAAAATATGGAGCTCAGTATTACATAAGTCCACACAAATATGAGTTTAATATTTGAGTTTATTTATCATAGCATTACAGCCTTTACCCTTAAAGTTCAACTCTTTCAATGAAATAACCTCCAATTCACTAAAAAACTCAATTGTCCAGAACATTCTACTCTCTTGCCCTGTTAGTCCTTCACTCATTTAAATAATAACAATAATAATGGTGAACAACCGGTGGTAGGCAGAATTTTGGTTCCCATAGCCTTTGCCCCCAACCCCCATGTTATGCCTGTGAATGTCACATTACATGGCAAAAGAGACTTTGCAGATGTAATTAAGGTTACTAATGAGCTCTTTACTAATTAAGATAGAGAGTTTATAACTGGTTTATCCAAGTAGGTGCGCTGTAATCACATAAGCCTGAGCCCTTAAAAGCAGAGGAAGGACTGGGCGCGGTGGCTCACGCCTGTATTCCCAGCACTTTGGGAGGCCAAGGCGGGCGGATCACGAGGTCAGGAGATCGAGACCATCCTGGCTAACATGGTGAAACCCCATCTCTACTAAAAATACAAAAAATTAGCCGGGAGTGGTGGCGGGTGCCTGTAGTCCCAGCTACTCAGGAGGCTGAGGCAGGAGAATGGCATGAACCCAGGAGACGGAGCTTGCAGTAAGCGGAGATCGCGCCACTGCACTCCAGCCTGGACGACAGAGTGGGACTCCGTCTCAAAAACAACAACAACAACAACAACAACAACAACACATAGGAGGAGGGCAAAATAGAGAGACCAGAGAGATGAGGCAGAAGTCTGAGGGATTCAAAGCACAAGATGGATTCAACATGACATTGATGGCTTAAAAGTGGAGGGACCCACATGTCAAGGAAACAGCGACCTCAGTCCTAAAACGACAAGAACTGAATTTTGCCCAATCACCTGAATAAGCCTGTAAGCAAGATCCTTCCTTAGAGGCTCCAGATAAGGAGCCCAGGCTGGCCAACACCTTTATTTCTGCTTTGTAAGACCCTAAGCAGAGAACCTGGCAGAAGGCTCGGATCTAGAGAACTGTGAGATAATCAGTGGGTGTTTGAAGTCACTAAGAATGTGGTAATTTGTTACAGCTGCAACAGGGAACTAATAACAACAGAGCACTTGCATGGGTCAGGCTCTAACTGCTACATGTTTATAAACTCATTAAATCTTCACAACAGCCTAACAAGGTGAAAAACATTTTCTAGGCAAGAAGATTAAGACACAGATTATAGGTAGACTGTGACACAAGTAGTAAGTAACAGAGCCCAGATTTGAACCCAAGCAGCCTTACTCCAAAGACTGTGATATTCAAACTATCATTACACTGTAGGGGAGTGAGATTAGGCTTACGAGTAGAAGGAGAGAGAGTGAGAGAGAGGACAACATGATGAGAAGAGAGGAGAGAATATAACTGGAAAAACAGATGACTATTAGAAAACTGGAGAAGAATTCAGAATTCCAACTGCTTCTGTCTAACATCCTGTCATCAAAACTAAATGTTTCAGTAATGATGTCATTATAAAATTGTGATTGACTCTCCATGAATTTTTAATATTTTTACTATTGTCTTTAGGTCAACCCATGTATTTCCCTGCAATAAAATGTGTCAGGACACTTGATTACATGCAAATGTCACATCCATTAACTTGTCTGGACCTTCTAGTGGACTTTCACTCAGCTCCTTGTGGGTAGAGACTCACTTATTCATATTCTTAACACCCGCCCAGGGGTCAAAACAGGCAGAGAGTTTTACAGAATAAATAGGGGGAAAATGTAGTATAAATGTTTTGAAAACTGCAAAGCATTATTTTAAAAATAGGAAAGCTTATTATAGTATCTCTTCAAATGACATTATTCCAAATATATTTTAATTCATAAAGCTGAAAAGCCAGTTACCAAATACATTTTCTTCAAAGACTTCTGACACATGCAGCCCATCTGACTAGAAAGAGTTCTCAACACTTCTCTTTGGTGCTTGCATAGAACTTTCTTCACAGCTCATGCTAATTTAGTTCTGAGTTTCATAAGCATACAAAAATTTAGTCCATAAATAGCCCAGCATCCTCAAGGCAGTGGGTAGGAGTTCCCTGAATCATTCCATGAGATTTCTCAGGAGAGTCTTCATGTTCAGATTAGACCCATATGTCCATAATGCCTTTATTACAAAAGTGTGGGGTGGGGAAAAGTATTTAAGAGTCACTAGCCTTGGATTCAAATACCATCCTTGCTACTGTCCGTAGAAAGCCCTGGTGTAGAGAATTGTTTATATTTTCTGAGCCTCAATTCTTTATCTTTATCACTCTGATAATAATATCCAACATTTCTAATTCTCAGAGACATCATAAGAAACATATGACATAATGTATGTAAAAGTGTTTTATAACTTTTAAAGAGCTAAGAGAATAACATTGTTTAACCTCTCTCAGGGCTTTCTAGATCTTTACTTTTAGCTGGATTTTACTAGTGTATAGATGAGAAAAATGAACACATCTGTGGTGCTTACTTTCCACATTTCAGATGCTGGTTTAATAGTCTATGATTGCCATTTCTTACTGGTTCACCCACTGGCCCTTTCTAGATTTGTTCCTGCTAAACCATGAATTCCTAAACATCCTCTTTTGGCCCAGTTTTTCATCTTATCCAAAACCTTTCCCTTATCTTCAGGCTGATAAAACATCCCACAAGTCTGTTTCCTGTTAAATGAAGCTTTTGGATTTATACCTTGACCTGTATTTGCAGCTCACCCAAACCTTTTGTCTGTTTGTTTGAACCTCAGTCACACTTATCTTGGTCTAGTGGTTTATAATATATTCTTATCATTTTCATTATAAAATATGATGTTTCTACCCAAAAGTATTTCAATCTTATTTCGTTTTTTATAAAAAGTTACACTTTTTTGTTTTACCTCTCCTACAGAACATTATAAATTCTTCTGCCTATTCATGCCCAGAGATAGTCCTAAGCTCAAGGTAAATGCAGTGATATTTTCTAAAACTATGCTCAAGGTCTTTCTTTGCCTGAAAAGACTTGCGTTAGTTAGGGTAATGTCAGTAACTACGGTAAATAAACCCTAGAATTCCAGTGGTCTATGGAATAGAAGTTCATTTCTCCCTCAGTGCAACATAGTTATTTCAGATGAGTAGGGAGATTTTCTTTGCATATAATTCAGAGACCTGTGTTTCATTGTATTGGGAATGTGCCATCCCTGAGGGCTTTATCTTTTTGTGCATCCTTCCAGCAGAAAGGAGGGTAACACACATCATTTCTGCTCCAGTCCATTAGCAAGAACTAGTCACAAGGCCATATCTAGGCACTGACATAGCTGGGAAACATAGTCTCCTACTAAGCAGCTGCTTCCAGTAATAACTCTACCATGGAAGGAACACAAGGATCGGTGGGTATCTGAATGGTTGCATGAATTAAAAAACCAGAAACTAATGCAGCCTAAGAATCAAAAAGTAGTTACCAGAGCAAGTTTTCTGCATAAACTCTTTCCTACCCAAGTGGCAGATGAGGGAATAGAGAACTTTTCAAAAATATATGCATATAGTCCAGAGACAGATCAGGGAAGTCATAAATTTTAGCTTAGATATAAATAGAAATTATACAGCCAAATAAAACTAATCAAGCTGGTCAAATTCCTTACCATTAAAGAAAGGGACTTGCACAGATTTCCTCTGGATATTGACTGCATTGCTAGCAACCTGGAGTAGGTTGAAAATGAGCATGGGTGCATTGCCTCATGCTGCAGAGAGTTATGGTACATGTAAAAGATTACATAGAAAGAGAACAGCTGTCTTACTTAGCTTGTAATAACATCTTGGACTTAAGTGATCAACCTTCTCCATGATCATCTAGAATATCAAGCATAGCCTCTTCAAATGTACCTCATGCATAATCAGGCATTGTTGCCTTTTCACTTACCACAGATGCAGTAAGTCTGAGGTAGCAAGACAGTTTCACTAAAAAAAAAAAAAATTACTTCTTAAGAAATGACTCTGTATGTAAGAAATTCCAGGAGATGGCATGTACCTTTCAGGTTTTTCAGCTTATAGATTGCCAGTTAGTCTCTCCAGTACAGAGATGCAAGGGCTGACACAGAGAGCAAATCTCCTGCTGCTGTGTAAAGGGACATCCTCAGAAGTTTCTTTTCAAACATCTCAAAATGGCCTAAAACATATCCATAAATAAATCCTTAGAGAAATTTGGATTCAAGTTAGAGAAATATTTATCAAAACTTGCAAATATTCATTATAAAAGAAAAACTATAAATATGCTCCCCATTATACAAATTATAGTGGTAGGGATACCCTGTGAAAAGGTCATTTAATTCATAATAGCATGTAGAAAACTGGTTAGATAAATTTTAATATGGGAAAGCAAGGTAATGCATTTAGCAATAAATAATTTAAACTATAAGTATAAAACAAAGAGTTCTGAGCTAATAGTTATGGTCAAGAATAAAGGACCTATGATGAGAGGAAATTGCTCACATTAGGCATCCATGGCTTTAAAAGCCATCCAAATATTGTGGGTAATTGGACAATTTTAGTATGTAAGGGGAAAATGAGTAATTATTATTTTTCTCTTCTGTAAAATTATGGTGCTTCCACACATGAAACACAACTGTGCAGCCTTTGGAGCGTGCTCCTCAGATGCCCCTTGAAGGGAAAATCTACTTCAAGGAGCATACTCATCAGACAGTCTCTGGTGCTATACCATGAAGCCACCTCAGCATTCATATGGAGGCCACACTATACCCAGACTGCTCACAGCCAATGACAGAGTACATCGGTGGTTCTAAAGCTGCCACATCCCCTGCCCAAAAGGGGACTTCTGTAACAGGCGATCTTTTCTCTGGGGCTACCCATCAACCTGCCAGAGGCCTTCTCAGAGCTGCACTGCAGTCTGAGGCTCTGCCCACCCCATCCTCCTTTCTTATCTCCCTTTACAGGTGTCAGACATCACACTCATATTCTCTTTCTCTCCTGTATTATCTATGGACATTTCTCCCAGTAAATCTCTTGCACATCTAATTCCATATTTGTATTTCCTTCCCAGAGGATGTAAGCTGATACTTGGTACCAGAAGTGATCTGATATAGCAGATACCTTGCTGCCCAACTAGGAGGAGGCACAGATAGTCTCTGCACAAGGAGAGAGGCCAACTGCTAAAAATTTTAGTAGCGTTGACCTGGAAAAAATGACTCAATGGAAGGAACACTGTGACTGGTATTCAGTCATTTGAAATCTATGGTGAAAAAATGCATGAAGGGACAGAAGAATTAGCTAGTTATTACTAAGTTGCCCTGACACTCTACAGAAGGATAATGACAAACTTGAGTCACTTAATGGAGAATTAATGTTGAGTTTAAGAGCCAGAGGACCTTTTTAGTAGCTTCTGAATATTTCTTATTTTGTGCAATGCAAAAGTAGACACAGAGAAGGAGCAAGCACGGGACCTAAGAATTAGGTTCATGGAGCTCCAGAATCATTTAAGTGACCAGCCAAGACATTTCTGGTATGCTAAGGTCAAGGTTCAGGTTGAGAAGGTATGGGGCAGTGAGGATAAACTAGGTAGATGCCCCTAAGGATTGGGGCTCTGAAGACTACCCTGAAACCATGTAGTTTGCAGAGGTGACCCAGCCCCATTAACAGACGGCACTCCTCTCATGCAGGAGACACTGCAGAGGCCTCTCTCTGCTGCAGGAGACCAGGGCCCCCCCGCTGCCCTCACTGCTCTTTCAGCTGCAATTCTGATCCTGAGGGTCAATCCCAGCATAATCCAGCCAGGGACATATGGGACCAAATAAGGCAGGAAAGACTTTACACACCAAAGGAACAGCAAGCAAGAAGTAGAAATCATGAACCAACAGGAGCAGTGGGAGAATCTTGGGACTAGATTTTGAGGGTGCTTGGTCAAGAGAACCTGAAAATAATACTGAATGAACAATAATTCATTCATTTGGAGACATTTTCTTGTGATGTGAGTTTAATGTCCTGGCAAGAGCCCTGGGAAATAAGGCAAAATTCACTGTTAGGGGGACTTTTAGAAGCTTAGAGAAAGCAGTGGCTCATGCTGAGCAAAGTTGAAATGCCAGAGTTGATATGGCAGACAGTAGCAGATGGAATGAAAAAGCTCTAAAAGGTAGACATGCTGGAATGAACATCCAACTGAGGATAATGCTCCGTGGGAGGTCCCAGAGGATGCAGAATTCCCCTAGGCTACCAGGAATGCACTGGTGAGAGGGGCACCAACCTCACTAAGAAGTGCAGCAGGGGCTCCTCTGCAAGCCAGGGCTACATCAGGGGAGGTGGTCGCCAAGCCTGGGCCATGAATAGCCAAGGGGGTAACAGAGGCTGGGAGGTAGCATTTCACTGTCAGAAGCCAAAGACCACAATTATCATAATGACTGGCAACCCACAGGGACTTGAGAAGATGGCTAATAAGCTGTCATATCCTAGTGAATAAACAGACTGACAACAATAAGAGTGCTGCTTAATATCTAGCAACAGTGAAAGAGCAGAGAGCTTAGAGTGGTCACTCCACTGAAAAGGCATAATTCCTTTCTCATTTCCTGAGAAAGCCTATATGGTAGGGGGAAAAAAGCACTTAGTTCTTCCACAGGGGAGCCTGCAGCCATTTACTCAGATAATGGCTGGAGAAAGGGTATTATCCAACATTTTGAGGACTATTGGACATAACATTCTGAGTTGACATTGATACCCAGAGACACAAACAATTATCATAACAACCTCATCATTAGAGTGGGTCCAGGTAATAAAGGGAATCACTGATAAAATCCAACATACAGTGGGGTCACTGGGTACACAGATAAATCAAGCGGTCATTTCCATGAGTGTATAGTCAAGATTCAAAATTAGAGTTCATGGCCAGGTGGGGTAAGCACTATCATAGTGGCAAAGGCTGAGTGAAAGCCTCTAGAACTATCCCCACCCTTCATGCAAGATAGTAAATCAAAAACAATATTATATCATGAAAAGATGGTAGGGATTATTGCTACTTGCATGATTAAAGCTCAGTGTTTTAGGAGTGTAGCCTCTATCATACCTTTGTGTAATTCATCGGTTTAACCCCTGCAGAAACTGGATAGATTAGAGAGAATGGCTGTAGACCAGTGGTCACCAACCTTTTTGGCATCAGGGACCAGTTTCATGGCAGGCAATTTTTATAC
Source organism: Homo sapiens (assembly GCF_000001405.40). Lineage (NCBI taxonomy): Eukaryota > Metazoa > Chordata > Mammalia > Primates > Hominidae > Homo > Homo sapiens. Next base: position 98,488,622 of record NC_000005.10, read on the forward strand.
AGATGGGGGTGGGGTGGAGGAGTGGTTTTGTGATGAAACTCACCTCAGATCATCAGGCATTAGATTCTCATGTGTAGTGCACAATCGAGATCTCTTGCATGTGCAGTTCACAATAGGGTTTGCACTCCTATGAGACTCTAATGCTGCCACAGATCTGACAGGAGGTGGAGCTCAGGCAGTAATGCTGCTCACTCACTGACTCACCACTCACCTCCTGCTGTGCAGCCTGGTTCCTACCAGGCCTCAGACCAGTACCTGTCTATGGCCCAGGGGTTGAGAACCCCTGCTGTAGACTACCAGAAGCCCAACCACATAGTAGCCTGATCATATCCACCAGACCAAACACAATTTTATTGCTAAAGCTGAAGAATAAGGCCTTCTGTAGTCATGAAAAGGGATCAGACTCTGTTGTATTTACCTGAAATGGACAATGATGGTCATATACAGTTTTACCCTCAGGCTATAAAAACTGTCCTGTCTTCTGTCATAGATAGTATCATCCAATCACATATGGACTGTCACAACATGCCACAGAAAACCACACTGATCCATTACATCAATGACTTCATAGCTAGCAGGCAGGATGAACGTGAGATGTCTAGAGCCCTGGAAACCTTAGTAAGACATCTGGACTCAAGATGATGGAAAATTGATTCATTGAAAATTCAGGGACCTACCACGTAGTAAAGTTTTCAGGGGTGCACTTGTTGCAGAAACATCCCCTCTAAAGTAAAACGCAAATTGCTGCATTTGGCATCCTCAACTACAAATAAGGAAGCACAAAGTCCAACAGGCTTCTTTTGGCTCTGGAGGCAACATGTTCCATACCTAGGGATACTTTTCTGGCTGATACAATGCATAACATGGAAAATTACTAGATTCGAATGGAGCTCAAAGCAGGAAGGGGCTGTGAAGCAGGTCCAGACTGCAGTGCAAGCAGTCTTGTTGCTTGGACCATGTGGCCCAGCAGCCATTATGATATAAGAAGTGTTACTAGAAAAAGATGCAATGTCAAAATTATGGTAAACCCTAATAGGAGAATTGTAGACCTTTCATGAAATAGCTTCTGACATGTTGCTAGGCCCAGGTGCAGATGGAATGCTTGACTTGGGACATTAAGTGACCACGCATTCAGCAGTGCCCATGGTTATATCAGCACATTTTATCAGACCTTTCAAGTAATAAAGTTGAACAAGCTCAGCAGCAGTCATTCATAAGAAAGAAATGTTGCACCAGGATGAAAAGCACACTGGAGCAGAAAGGAAGAGTAAGCTGCAGGAGCAGGTAGCCCAGCCCCTAGTGTCAGATACCATGGTTACAACAGTGTCCCTCCTGTACCTTGCTCATATGGCTATATGCAGGTCCTGTATAACCAGCTGAAGAAGGAGAAAAACGTCCAAATTTGTTTGTGGATGGGTCAGCTCAGCATGGGAGCATAAATTCTAAAACGATGGCTACTGTACTACAACTACATTCAGGGGTGGTCTTGAAAAATAGTGGAGAGAAAAAAAATGTTTCTAACTGGTGGAGCTGTGAGTGGTTCAGATATACTTTGTATGGAAGGAAAAGTGACCTGAAGGAAGGAGATATATGTGGACGTGTGGTGATACGGGAGTGCTGGGAAGGGAAGTGCTGGGTAGAGAAACACGGGTCCCTGGCGAGGGCTCCATCACCATGGACATAGGTGAGGACAGGCACTCCTACTTTCCCACCCAAATGTTGCATTTTCCAAGACCACCTTGGCCTGCCATGCCCCCATCCTAGGCCTATAAAAACCCCAGACCCTAGCAGGCAAACACACAGGTGGCCAGATGTAGAGAGGAGCACATCGGCAGAAGAAGATGCAAGCAGCTGGTCATCGAGAGAATGTCGAGAGGAGCACATGGGCAGAAGCGCACACCAACAGGCACTGGCACGCTGGCAGGCCATCGACCGGTGGGATGAGGCGGGGTTTGACTGGGGAAGTCGGAGTACAGCCAGGACTACAGAGGGGCCCAACTCCAGGGGAAAACCATCTCCTTTCTGGCTCCCGCATCAGCTGACAGCTACTTCCACTCAATAAAACTTTATACTCATTCTCCAAGCCCACAAGTGATCCAGTTCTTCCAGTACACCAAGGCAAGAATCCGGGATACAGTAAGCCCTCTGTCCTTGCGACAAGGTAGAGGGTCTAATTGATATGGTTAACACAAGTCATCTACAGATAGCAAAATAAGAGAGCACCCTGTAACACGTGCCCACTAGAGCTTCAGGAGTTGTAAACATTCACCCCTAGACACTGCTGTGGGGTTGCAGCCCCACAGCCTGTTCGTCTGTATGTTCCCCTGGAGGCTTGAGTAGCAGGGCACTGAAGAAGCAAGCCACATCTCCATTGTATGTCATGTGAAGGGGACAAGGGAACCTTTCCCGTTTCAATATGGCCATATGAGGTCCTGTATAACCAGCTGAAGAAGGAAAACATCCAAATTTGGTTGTTGGATGGGTCAGCTCAGCATGTGAGTGTAAAATCAAAAATGATGGCTACTGTACTATAACTGCATTCAGGGGTGGTCTTGAAAAATAGCGGAGAGAAAAAAAAAATGTTTCTAATTGGTGAAGCTACAAGTGGTTCAGATATACTTTGTATGGAAGGAGAAGTGACCTGAAAGAAAGAGATATATGTGGGTGTGTGGTGGGTGTACATGTGTGTGCATGTGTATTTCTGGGTAGTAGTCAATGGCCCGGTCAGCTGATCAACAATAGCCTAGAAATAAAAGGACTGAAAGATCAGAGATGAGGAGATCTCTAGTAAGGCATGTGCATAAACATATGCGAGTGGGCTCAAATTATGAAACTTTTTGTATAACATGTTAACATCTACTAGAAAGCATCCATCATGGGAAAAGCACTGAAGAATCAAGTAGACAAAATGACGTAGCCAGTTGACTTTAGCCAGTCGACTTTAGCCAGTCTTACTTATCAGCCGCTAAGAAATGGCATGATGGGCATATGAACAAAGGCACTGAGGTGGCAGTATTGGAGTCTGCACAGGGATCTAACATGGACTCTCACCTGTCCAGGCCTATTTACCTACTGTCATGCTGAATGTCCAGCCTGCCATGAGTGCTGAGTCCCCATATAGCACTATTTCTGCAGGAGATTAGCCAGTTACTTGGTGGCAACTCGACTAAACTGGATCTCTTTCATCTTGGAAAAATTGACAGTTTGTCCTTACAGAGAAAATGTAAGATGCTCAACATCACTAATTATTAGAGAAAGGCAAATCAAAACCACAATGAGATGCCATCCCACACCTGTCCGAATGACTATTACTAAAAAGTCAAAAATTAACAGATGGTGTCAAAGTTGCAGAAAAAAAGGGAATGCTTATACATTTCATGTGGGAATGTAAATTAGTTTAGCTATTGTGGAAAGCACTTTGGCAATTTCTCAAAGGACTTAAAACAGAATTACCATTTGACCCAGCAATCCCATTACTGGTTATATACCCCAAAGAATTCTAATTATTCTACCATAAGGACACATGCACATGAATGTTCATCGTGGCATGATTCACAATACCAAAGACATGGAATCAACCTAAATGCCCATCAATGACAGACTGGATAAAGAAATTGTGGTACAGGAGAGGACCCACAGACACTCTGAAGGAAGCCAACTGCTCCTGCAGGACCTGGGAGACCCCCCAAAAAACTGCACAAGTATCCACGGCTGAGAGGCCCATAGATGGTTCACATTACAGGACTCTGTGCAGACAACCCCCAGTACCAGCCCAGAACTGTGTAGACTCACCAGCTGGCTAGACCCAGAAGAGAGACAACAGTCACTACAGTTTGACTCACAGGAAGCCACACCCACAGGAAAAGGTGCAGAGTACTACATTAAGGAAACACCACATGGGACAAAAGAATCTGAACAACAGCCTTCAGCCCTAGACCTTCCCTCTGACAGCCTACCCAAATGAGAAAGAACCAGAAAACCAAACCTGGTAGTATGGCAAAATGAGGCTCTTCAACACCCCAAAAAAATTACACTAGTTCACCAGCAATGGATCCAAACCAAGAAGTCCCTGACTTTTCTGAAAAAGAATTCAGGTTAGTTATTAAGCGAATCAGGGAGGAACCAAAGAAAGGCAAAGCCCAATGCAAAGAAATCCAAAAAATGATACAAGAAGTGAAGGGAAAAATATTTAATGAAAGAGGTAGCTCAAGGACAAAAAACCAAACACCGTATGTTCTCACTCACAGGTGGGAATTGAACAATGAGAGCACATGGACACAGGAAGGGGAACATCACACACAGGGGACTGTTGTGGGGTCGGGGGAAGGGGGGAGGGATAGCATTAGGAGATACACCTAATGCTAAATGACAAGTTAATGGGTGCCGCACACCAACATGGCACATGTATACATATGTAACAAACCTGCACATTGTGCACATGTACCCTAAAACTTAAAGTATAATAATAATAAAATTTAAAAAAAATCAAAAATTCAGGAAACTTTAGACATACTTTTACTTTAGACACACTTTTAGAAATGTGAAATGCTCTGGAAAGTCTCAGCAATAGAATTGAACAAGTAGAAGAAAGAAATTCAGACCAGAAAGACAAGGTCTTTGAATTAACCCAATCCAACAAAGACAAAGAAAAAAGAATAAGAAAGTATGAACAAAGATTCCAAGAAGTCTAGGATTATATTAAATGACCAAACCTAAGAATAATTGGTGTTCCTGAGGAGGGAGAGAATTCTAAAAGCTTGGAAAATATATTTGGGGGAATAATCAAGGAAAACTTCCCCAGCCTTGCTAGAGACCTAGACATCCAAATACTAGAAGCACAAAGAACACCTGGGAAATTAATTGCAAAAAGATCTTCACCTAGGCACATTGTCATCAGGTTATCCAAAATTAAGACAAAGGAAAGAATTTTAAGAGCTGTGAGACAGAAGCACCAGGTAACCTATAAAGAAAAACCTATCAGATTAACAGCAGATTTCTCAGCTGAAATCCTACAAGCTAGAAGAGATTGGGGCCCTATCTTTAGCCTCCTCAAACAAAACTATTTTCAGCCAAGAATTTTGTATCCAGCAAAACTAAGCATCATATATGAAGGAAACATACAGTCTTTTTCGAACAAATGCTGAGAGAATTCACCATTACCAAGCCACCACTACAGGAACTACTAAAAGGAGCTCTAAATCTTGAAACAAATCCTGGAAACACATAGAAACGGAACCTCTTTAAAGCATGAATCACACAGGACCTACAAAACAAAAATACAAGTTAAAAAGCAAAAACAAAAAACCAAATTACACCAGCAACAAAAAGCATGATGAATGCAGCAGTACCTCACATTTCATTACTAACATGGGAATGTAAATGGCCTAAATGCTCCATTTAAAAGATACAGAACCACAGAATAGGCAAGAACTCACCAACCATCTGCTGTCTTTAGGAGACTCACCTAACACATAAGGACTCACATAAACTTAAAGTAAAGGGGTGGAATAAGACATTTTATGCAAATGGACACCAAAAACAAGCAAGGGTAGCTATTCTTGTATCAGACAAAACAAACTTTAAAGCAATAGCAGTTGAAAGAGACAAAGAGGGACATTATATAGTGGTAAAAGGCCTTGTCCAACAGGAATATATCACAATCCTAAACATATATGCCTCTAACACTGGAGCTCCCAAATTTATAAACAATTACTAACAGACCTAAGAAACGAGATAGCAACACAATATTAGTTGGGGACTTCAGTACTCCATTGACAGCACTAGACAGGTCATCAAGACAGCAAGTCAGCAAAGAAACAATGGATTTAAACTATAACTTAGAACAAATGGACTTAACAGATATATACAGAACATTTCATCCAACAGCCACAGGATACACATTCTATTCAACGGTGCATGGAACTTTCTACAACAGAGACCATATGATAGGCCCTAAAATGAGCCTCAATGAATTTAAGAAAATTGAAACTATATCAAGCACTCTCTTAGACCACAGTGGAAGAAAACTGGAAATCTACTCCAAAAGGAACCTTCAAAATTATTCAAATTCATGGAAATTAAATAACATGCTCCTGAATGAGCAGTGAGTAAAAAATGAAATCAAGATGGAAATTAAAAAATTCTTTGAACTGAAAGACAATAATGACACAACCTATCAAAACCTCTGGGATACAGCAGAGGCAGTGCTAAGAGGAAAGTTCATAGCCCTTAATGCCTACATCAAAAAGACTGAAAGAGCACAAACTGACACGTGAACATCACACCTCAAGGAACTAGAGAAACAAGAACAAACCAAACCCAAACCCAGCAGAAGAAAGGAAATAACCAAGATCAGAGCAGAACTAAATGAAATTGAAACAAAAAAGATGCAAAAGATAAATGAAAAAAAAATCTGGTTCTTTGAAAAGATAAATAAAACTGATAGACCATTAGCAAGATTAAGCAAGAAAAGAAGAGAGAAAATCCAAATAAACTCACTAAGAAACAAAACAGGAGATATTACAACTGACACCACTGAAATACAAAAGATTATTCAAGTTTACTATGAACACGTTTACACACATAAACTAGAAAACCTAGAAGAGATAGATAAATTCCTAAAAAAAATACAACCCTCCTAACTTAAATCAGGAAGAATTAGATAACCTGAACAGACCAAAAACAAGCAGTGAGACTGAGATGGCAATTTAAAAATTAACAACAACAAAAAAATCCAGGACCAGACAGATTCACAGCAGAATTCTGCCAGACATTCAAAGAAGAATTGGTACCAATCCTTTTGTACTATTCCACAAGATAAAAAAGGAACCCTCCCTAATTCATTCTATGAAGTCAGCGTCACCCTAATACCAAAACCAGGAAAGGACATAACCAAAAAAGAAAACTACAGACAGATATTTTTGATAAACATAAATGCTAAAATCCTTAATAAAATACTAGCTAACTGAATCCAACAACGTATCAAAAAGATAACCCAACATGATCAAGAGGGTTTCATATCAAGGATGCACGGATGGTTTAACATACACAAGTCAGTAAATGTGATACACCACATAAACAGAATTAAAAATCACATTATCATCTGTGTTAGTTTGCTGAGAATGATGGCTTCCAGCTTCATCTATGTCCCTGCGAAGGACATGATATCATTCTTTCTTATGGCTGCATAGTATTCCATGGTGTATATGAGCCACATTTTCTTTATCCAGTCTATCATTGATGGGCATTTGGGTTGTTTCCAAGACACTTGCACACACATGTTTATAGCAGCATTAATTCACAATTGAAAAATCATGGAACCAACACAAATGCCCATCAATCAACAAGTGGATAAAGAAACTGTGGTGTATATATATATTATATATACATAATATATATATATGAATACTACACAGTCATAAAAAGGAATTAACAGATAATAAAAAGAATTAACAGTCATAAAAAGAATTAACAGCATTTGCAATGACCTGGATGAGATTGGAGACTATTATTCTAAGTGAAGTAACTCAGGAATGGAAAATCAAACATCATATGTTCTCACTGATATGTGGGAGCTAAGCTATGAGGACGCAAAGGCATAAGAATGATAAAATGGACTTTGGGGACTTGGGGGGAAGAGTGGGAGGGGGATGAGGGATAAAAGACTACAAATATGGTGCAGTGTATACTGCTTGGGTTATGAATGCACCAAAATTACCACTAAAGAACTTACTTATGTAACCAAATACCACCTGTACCCTAATAACTTATGGAAAAAAAAATTTTTAATGTGGTACATATACACCATGGAATACTATGCAGCAGAAAAAAGTGAGGTCATGTCCTTTGCAACAACACAGTTGGAGCTAGCAGCCGTTACCTTAAGTGAACTAACACAGGAACAGAAAATCAAATACCACATTTCCTCACTTATGAGTGAGAGCTAAACATTGAGTATAAATGGACACAGAAAAGACAACAGCAGACACCAGGGCCTACTTGAGGGCAGAGGCGGGAGGAGGGAAAGGATCAAAAACTACCTATTGGACACTACACTTATTACCTGGGTGCACCAAACCCCTGTGACATTCAATTTACCTATATAACAAACCTGCACATGTACCCCTGAACCTAAAATAAACGTTAAAAAAAAAGAAAAGAAAATCCCTCTCTGGACATATGAATTTGTTTTTTCTGCCCACAGATCCTCGCTGTCCAGGCCTCGCTGACACAATGCCTGATCCACAAACATTGAATCCCCACAACATAGCAAGGGTAACTGAACCTGATCAGTAGGAGGAAGTAGTGCCGCTTTAACATAATGGGAGAAGAGGAGATTCTGCATGGAACCCAGATGGCCCATTTGTGAATTTCTTGATTCTCACTTGCCCCACTGTGTGTGAACACACACAGCAACCCTGCCACTAAATGCTGGTGACATATTTGCATTGGAAATGAACTTAAATAGTGAGTTGGTTTTACAAAGGCCACAAAAGAGACTTAGGTAATGACTATTGTTTGTTCTTAGTCTAAGTTTGAATCCATGATTCAAGTTGACATTTTGGAATATCTTGTAATGTCTTTGAAGAATATCAAACCTAACCAAGGGCTCCATGTATTTTGTTTTTTCCTTTTGCACAAGATAAACTTAATTTTGTAGTAGTTTTAGGTATTTGGGAATCATAAATCATTTACTTAAATCAGTTTCAATTTCATTACTTTTCCATAATCTGAATACATAATTGTTCCAGTTTATTTTTAATTTACAGGGAAACTCACAAGGACAAGTTTGGCACTTCTTCACTTGTTCTGAGTTGTTTATGTGGTTGGATTCAGTTATTAAGGCTTAGATCCAGTTTGTACTCACAGCTCTGGCCTGGGGCCTTCTTCTGTGTCTCTGCCTACTTCTGTGGAGGCATGAAGAGAGGCACTATGTCCATGTGATATGATGCAAAACCACTGAACTCATTTGAGGTGTCAAACTTAGAGGCTGATCCTTACTTTTTCCTTCCCAATGTGTAAAAATAAACATCCCAATCTCCGGCTTCTCTGATTGCATTAGTCACAAGTTGTCACATGATTCCTTTGTTCTTAAAACATTTTTAATGACTGAAAATAACAGTTTTCATCTCATCTTCAAAAGGTTATTTCTAACAATCCCAAATCTGAAGATATGGTTTTAAGTTTCTGAGTGGCAGGAAGTAAACTAAACTTTTTTTAAATGAAAGATATCAAAAGAAATAGTTAGGTCTTTGTCAGACTCTAGCCTTGTGGAAAAATTCTAGATGAAAATTCTGGGATAAATTTTGCAATTCTAACATTACTTTATTCTTTTTTGATCCATTAACTAGGAAGTTTTCCTTAATCATCTCTACTTTGCTAGACATAATGGAATAATACAAAATAAATAGGGCTCAATTTCTATTCAGGACTGTAAGATCTAATGGTACAGATAAAATTAATACACATGAACTCATACAGAACAATCGAGAGTGAGCAATGTGGTGCTGACTTTAAGTATAACAGGTGTTTGGGACAAAGTAGAGATTAGTGAAGATCAACGTAATAAAAGAAAGCTTTATGGAGGAAGTAGTGTTTGAACTGAGGCTTGAAGAATGTACAAAAGGTGGTTAGGAGCAATGGTTCTATAATGAAGCAGACATCAGCAGCTGTGTGGCTGGGGAGCTATGGGGCTCACAGAAGTAAGATAGCTTACCTTTCTAAGCCTTATTCATTTGTAAATGGTGTTAATTATAGTACCTACCTGATTGTTTTATTTTTTGTTTTGTTTTAGAAAATGGGATAACAAATGCAAAGGACTTAGTCATAAAAGTTAGCTTTTAATATTAGGCAGAGAGATGAAACATATTGAGGAAGGAAAGCAAGTAACTCAAAGAACAAAGATGGTTGATGCTTATATGCAGGCCAGAGTGTAGGGTGGTGTGTGGTAGGGTCTAATGGAAATAAGAATAGACGGATGAAGTAGCACCGTGCCAAAGAGGAGCTTAGAAGCTTAATATACATATTTATCAACTCATTCAAAAGATATTTAACATCTACTGTGTACAAGTCATTGTGGTAATAATGAGAATTCCATGTTGAAGACTAGTATCATTTCTACCCTCATGAAGCATCGCTCTTGCAGGGAATAGAAGCATTAAAAAATTATAAGTGGAAAAGGAGAAATACAAAAGTTTATATTATTATGAATTCCATAAATGTTTATGATGTTGAAAAAGAAAGCTTTTCTTACCATAAAAATCACTACTAACCTATGTGAGATAAGACATATGATTAGATATGACACACAACTCTCTAAGAAAATAAAAACAAAATCACTCTGTCTATATAACACAATCAACTTGACAAAAAGTCCATCAGGGCTGTAAAACCAATATGAAACTCGATCAAACTTTTGATATCTGGAGACACAGCCTAAGTTCTAAAACTCCTTTGAAAACTGCACAACCAGCTTTATCTTTCCTCAATCTTTGGGTTCACTCCATCAATGTGTTCCCATTTTTCTGGCCTGAACCTACCCACGTTCTGGCTATGTAAAAACCCTGCAGCTTACTTTGCTTTCTTTATCTCATCATGATTTTGTTTTCTCTCCTGCATTTCTTTCTCTAATGTGGTTTGTGGCCAAAAGGCTCTTTCTTGCACACTTGCTTTCTTATAAGACCTAACTCAGTTCAAGAAATGTTTTCTGTGTGTCTACTATGTTTCCATCACTGATACAGCCACTGATTTGGGTTTTATTCTTTCCTGGGATGTTATCTTGCCATAAATATGGATGTTGCACACAAGATACACTTAATAAAGGTAGAGTTACAGTAGGTTAAATATTACACAAATATATTCTATGTATAAGAGCTATTTCTAGTCACAAGGAGTTTATTCACATAAATAGTGCCTTTTAAAATATTTGGGTTGGTGTGAAAGTAATTGTGGTTTCTGCCATCACTTTCAATGTGTAATAAATAATAAATAAACACATTAATTAATCCTATGTGTAAGTCTCTATGTGCTAGTTTATATGCATTAATGAAAAACATCAACTTTTTCATGATATAACACAGCAAAAGTTGATTTCTCATGTACACAACCCATGTAAGACAACAGAGAAGCTAGGTTTATGGCAGTCACTCAGAGGCCCAAGTGGACAAAGCCTCTATCTTCCTATGCAGCTGCAATCTCACAAGAGCCTCCAGGTTTTAGCAGGGTGACAAAGGGAATAAAGGAAATTATGCACATGATCTTCTGTGCTTTAGCTCAGAGGTGCCACCAGTCACTTTGCTCTCACTTTGTTGGTCAGGGCATATGACATGTTTGTCTAACTTTAATGGGACAAAGACATGCAACCCTCCTATTCTCCCAGAAGGATTAGAGGACCAGGAATATTAGTGAACAATGTCAATCATAATTTATAAGACAAATCAACCTATCCATTTAAGAGACATGCTATATACACACTGCCATTTGTATGCAGCAGAGACATCTGAATTGAACAGAAGTGCAACACTTAACAATTCTCAGATCATTTGTCACACAGTAATTTCCTGTCAACTTCACTACCTTAAACATCCCCATTTCATAAACAACACTCAGACAAATTCTCAAATAGCTACCAAATACGGAGAATGAACATAGTTCTCCAGCAACTTCTAACAGCAATGACAGCTTCATAACACTAACCAGATTTTCCAATAACATTCAGGGAAGAACTTCTCTTCTGCTAATTTACTTCAAGGAACTTCAATGACTTTTGGCCAAATCCAGTTTCTGATTCTATTCTGGTAGAAATTTCATGACAACAAATTATCTAGGGTCTCTTTAATTTTGCTCTGATAGTGTTCCCTTAAACCTGCAAAATCAAAAGGACTGACTGCCATTTATAAGAGTTGGCATGGGGATTACTTAGAGTCACAGATAATCTAAAATGCAGTATACATTTCATAACTGACATATATTTACACCTGAAAGAAAGAAAACTAGCAAATGAATCTAAAGTGAAAACTTTTAGCTAACCAATGTTAACTTAGAACTCAAGTATAATCATGTTCATTAAGAACTTCACATTTAAAGATGCAAAAGTATATAGACTATTTTTCAGAAATGATCCTGCATTCTACTTTTCTCTTAATTCTGAGAAGGTGTATTTGCCATACCTATAACGCCTGCTTTTTGCAACAGTTTGGGTTATATACTTGTCAGTTTCATATACAACAGTGTAAATACCTTTGCTAGTGATAATCATTGTGATTTTTTACTAATGATTATAAAGTGATAAGAATGATACTTTGCACTGTGTACTTTCCTTTGAATCAGCTCAAAGCTTATGTCACAATCAATATGATAGCGTTTATATTGCTGTCGCAGGCTTTCATTGACATTCTAACACAAGCAGCTGTCATAAACCAGCCAAAGAAGAATGAGGCTATTATGTTGGTCTTATTGATTTAAACTAAGTGAAAGTGGTCCATATGTCTTTAAGTTCTTTCAGCACAGCTTCAGTTATGACTTAAAATTGTTTATTGAGAAGAAAAATACGAGTTTCAATTTTCTCCTCATGTATTTAAGACAAAGTATCTCTGCTCTTCTTATGGAAATATGTAGTAACTGAACACGTCTTAGAAAGGTGAGTTCCCTTAAAAGGCTTTTCCTAGAAGTTGTAATGCTCTGTACTAGTCTTCTTATGTAAGAGGTTTGCTATCATACACATCTCTATGATGATAATTGGCCTAAATGGAGATTCCATTGATGATCCCAATTTTGTAGTCTCTATAACTGAGTCAAACACACAGATTTTCTAATTTGCCCATTTCTCTTTACTTGATTTATTTAACTAACTTGAGATTATAAATTCACTTAGCTGTTAAATTTTTATGTCTTACCATGGGTTCTCTCAATGGAGACACTGAGACTAAATGCAGACTAACTACTTAGGGGTGACCCCCAAAACAGGAATAATGGAACAAGCAGATTACAACAGGGAAGGGGGCAAAAATCAACATAAAAATGTGTTACCCAGCACTTTGGGAGGCTGAGGCAGGTGGATCATGAGGTCAGGAGATCGAGATCATCCCAGCCAACATGGTGAAACCCCATCTCTACTAAAATATGAAAAAAAAAAATTAGCCTGGCATGGTGGCACGCCTGTAGTCCCAGCAACTCGGGAGGCAAAGGCAGGGGAATCGCTTGAACCTGGGAGGCGGAGGTTGCAGTGAGCCAAGATTGTGCCACTGCACTCCAGCCTGGCGACAGAGCAATACTCCAACTGAAAAAAAAAAAAAAAAAAAACTGTTAGTACGATGGAAACTTAATTCAGCCAGACTTTGAAGAAGCATGGAGAATGTGTCCCATAATTGTTCATCAGAAGGATGGACACACACCAGCCCCACTGGTGCATTAACAGCCAGTATATTCCTGGCCTGGGCATGTCCATGGGCCGAGCAGGAGCTATGGCTGTGGAAAGGATCTCCTGTAGAAAATGGGAAGACTCATCAAGAAGTTTAGTACAGGATGCTGTCAGCTGAGGCTAAGAGTGCAGAAAACTGTGCCCTGCAGCTGTGGCTAAAATCAGAGGTTGGCCAAAGGATGGGACAGGAGGCAACAGAAGTGTATGCTACCCTACAAATTTGGTATTAATATTAAATATTTAAAATTCATTTGTCATATTTTCTTTTGAAGCATTATAACAGATTGGCATGTACAAACTAAAGCTTTTTTTAAAAAAAGTACAATTCAAAGAAGCTTTATGACATACTACTTCAGGAATTATGATTTCATCCTCAGAAACCTTCAACACCATCCTGTTACTATAATTAAGGAAACTGTGTAAAACCTTTCTTTCCATCATGCCTCTCCTTTATATTGGATGTTTGATATCCTTTGGGCAAAATCAAGAAGACCCTTGCAGGTCTCTTGGACAAACTTCTCCTGTGCCTGGCCTGCAAGGTATCCAGTGCACTGAATGTGGGTGCAGAATCCTCTGCCTAACAAGACCCACCAAGCTGCCAGGCATGTCACAGAGACATACAAGGCAGACAACAGTGAATGTATCTCTTTTTTTTTTCCCAGCTTTATCCTGGTATAATAGACAAATAAAAATTATATATGTTTAGGGTATGCAACATGATTTTGTGATATATGTATATTTTGTGAAATGATTACCATGATCAAGCTAATTAACACATCCATTACTTCACATAGTTACCTTTGTGTGTGGGGGGCAGGGTGAGCATACTTAAGATCTACTTTCTTAGCAAATTTCAAGTATATAATACTTTATTATTAATCATAGTCACCATGCTGTACATTAGGACTCCAGAAATTATTTATCTCATAACTGAAAGTTTGTACACTTTGGCCAACATCTCCCCATTAATTAATGCATCATATTAATTGATGCATAATTCAATGTATAAATATGCATACTTAATGCATCTTATTATGTTATATATCTGTAAAAACTATGTTTTTTGCTCTGGGAAATTGATTACAAATTGTTGCAATACTTGTGGTTCACTTACTGATCTGTAAAAATATATACAATGCATATCTTATCACAAAGTATTTGCATTTATGGGTTATTGTGTCTGGTTCATGCTTATCTTTTAGGGTCCCCAGAGCAGAGACTATATTTTGTATATCCCAGCATCCAGGCAGTGGAAACTGAATAAATAATTGTAGCAGACAAAATTGTGATCCATCATATGTTATGGGAGAGAAAAAAGGACAAAAAAATTACTGAACATTGACTGTACTGGAGTACTTAATGTAGATTATCTTACGTAATTCTCATAATAACCCTGAGGTAGATACTATTACTAGCACTGTCCCACCAATGGGCAAACCGTGATTAAAAGAAATTTAATACCTGGACCAAAGCTGTGAAGTCAGTTAGTTGCGGAATCAGTATTTAAATCGAGGCATCCAAACAGCTGGCTTCTGTAGAATATCTTCAGAATATTTTCCTACTCAGAGAAGGCTAGAGAAGCACAGTGGCATTTTGGGAAACCATTTCCTGTTGTAACACAAGGGCCCTTAGTGCTCTCTCTTCTATGTGTTTTACCTTTACATTTTTTTTTATTAAACTACACCTCAAAACTCACTGTACACCGTTCTCTGAGCCATCAGCTGCTCACTCAGTAGATCAATGCAGGCCCAGGGCCAGAACACTTTGAAGCTTTTGCTCTAACTTTACAGTCAATTCAGACCCCTGGTGTTCTTTTGCCGCATTTTTGGATTGATTCCTTTCCTCCTGTGCCAGGTTAGCACCATTATCTCTTCTCTTAAACAACAAAAGCAAAATGCTGAAACTGCAGTGAGAACATGCTCTGATTCCTATTGTGATTGCTGTGTCTTTCATTCTGAAGCAGCATAACTTAGAGGATATAAGCCTGACCTCCAGAATCAGAAAGTGTGACTTCAATTCCTGACCTGTTCTGTGGCCTTGAGCAAGGTATTTAATCTTTCTGGGCCTCAATTACTTCATGCATAAAATGGGGATAATAATAGCATCTATTTCATAGGGTTGTTGTGAGGATTAAATTAGTAATTACATGTAAAACTTAGAGCACATTGCCTGGAACATAATAAGCTCTACATGAGGTATGATAAAGAAATACAGTTTCTTCCAAGAATACAAATGCTTGATCTTCCATTGATTTGAATGAAATACCAGCCATAAATTCTATGAACAAACATAGTTTGGAAAGCCAGAAACAGGTGAAAATGTAAAAACTGAAAATACGTAATAAATTCCCAAGTGCCGTTCTCAATATGTGACTTAGACGATAAACTATCTTCAGCATTGCCCTGAAGAGTCTTTCATAATTCTAGTATTCTGTCTCTCTCTCTCATTTTCAGTAGCTGTAAACTGTTACTTCAAACCTTCACTATTATACTTCATTTGCATAAATATCTCCAGAGTTAATTCCTTGACAAAGTTTCCTGGGAAATGGCTGAAGACAAGACCATATTTACAACCAGGAGGCAAGTACCAAGCAGTCCAATCTGTGGAGTGTTTTATTCCCTTGCAAACACACCGCCTTGGTCAGTCAGAACTTGTCCTCTGTTCTTATCTGTTTTCCCTTAACATTGACCGCCCTCACCAACTGCAAAAAGAACACCTTGAAGAGATTAATTATTAATTTCAAAAAAGTCACTTCAAACACTTCAAAAGTCAACATAGAAGGGGGAAAACCCCCAATAACTGATTGTACAGTCACACAACATTTTATTTATTCTTTTCTTCAGTCTTGGAAACCAAAATGTCAATTCAATTTTATGACATCGGAGACATAAATGGATATGAGTTTAAGATGTGCTGGTGTTAAAATATTTATTGCTTAAATCTGACAGTCATATTTATAGTCTTATCTCCAAAGACCTGTGAAGTGTATATTATTAAATGGAATCTATATAGAGACATTTTGTTCCCAGAATATATAATTCGCCTATTGAGTTTCTTTGCACATACCTGTTTTAAGCTAAAGAATTTCAATGGCTTCTGGATATTCAACTATTTTTTTAATTCCTGTGGAAATCAGCACACAATAAATCACTACAATTGACGGTTTGGGCATTTCACAGAGGTGAATCTCTAGCACTACCTATGGAACTGAAGATTTTCAACACAAGATACCAAACCTGTTAGAAATTATGTTTTCCATTTTTTCAAACAAAATTTCAGGTCACTTTGGCCCACATGCTCCTTCAAGTAGCTGTAAAAATGATTTAAAGATTATAAGCTAAAAATATGTATAGTTTGGGCATTTGGAATCTTTCCAAGTGCCAAAGAATTTTGTGTTTAACAAATATTTTAACTCCTTAAAATATACAAGATATTACCCTAGCCTCCGTTAAAGCAAGCTAATAAAAATAGCTAACATTTAGAAGGTGCTCACTTTGTGCAGGGCACTATTCTAAGTACATTCCATGGAATAACTCATTTAATTTGCCCCGTAACTCTATGAACAACATGATATTAATTCCCCATTTAAAATATAAGAAAGCAAAACCCAGAGACAAGAATAATTCACATATCTTGTAAAGGTAAAATCGGGACACAAAAACAGAATGTGACTCTAAAACAGCCTTCTCCAAAGGAAATAGCCTTGGATTTGGCCCTTGAGGATCTTTCAGTAGAGTGGAAGAAAGGAAGAGAAAAGAATAAAATAGATAAGTCATCATAGAGTAAGCATAAAATGTAGAAGGAGAAGAGTTTTAAGGAGTTGAAATAAAGGAGGAAGTACCCCCATTTTCATCAAAACTGAAAAGTTTGATTAAGGAAAGTGGCATATTAATTGGCATATTAGAGATGGTTTATATTTAAGGAGTTGGAGCTGGTTCAAGGCATTCTCAGTAGACGGAAAAGTAAAAGAAGAGGCACAGAGACGGTACCGTGAGGCACGTTGCAGGGAAGAGCAAGTAGTTCATTTTAGTAAAGCATGGGATACAGAAAGAGCAGCAGTGGTCTAGGTAAATCTGAAAAATAAAATGAGCTTTAAAATTTTTCAAAAATATTAAATGCTAGATCAAAGAGTTTTGGAACTTAGCAATAGGGAAGTTTAAAGAATTTTTGAATGAGTAAAATGATTGAAGCATCGTTGGGAAAATATTTATCTAGCGTTGGCATTTCATTAAATTTATCATCTATTTGACTCCTATTTCCAAACATTTAAGATTAAATGTCTATACTAAAACAGAAAATAAAAATGAGAAAAATGGAGGTGAGATGTACTTTTAGTAAGACTGTAGTAAGACCAAGGAAGAGCCAGTTATTATAATGGCTATCAAGTTAAAACTAAGTGAGTGGTTTGCAGGATGGACTGGGCAGAGGAGAGCTCATGGTCATTGGTTCCATTCCTTAGCCACACTTTAGAATCACCAGGGCCTCTTTCAATATCTCAACACTCAGAACCCATCCCAGACCAATTACATCAGAATCTCTGAGATTCCAACTCAGATGTCAATATTTTTTAAAGCTCCCAGAGAGATTTTATTGTGCTGCCAAGATTGAGAACTATTTTTCTAGCAAGTTAAGTGATGAAGATTTGGCCTTCAGGGCTGATAGTAAGAATGGAAAAGAGGGAAGAAATCTGAAAAATAATATGAAGGAAAAAATCAATATCTCTTCTTGAAAGTGCTGAGAGAATTGTTCCCACAGCTCAACTCATTTTAAAAACATCCTTTTTCACATGAGATTAGACAAGTTTGGAAATTTGGCATTCTTAATCAGAACACAGGTCTCCACTGATACCAAGGGAAAATAATTGCATGGGATGGGAGAAGATGTCACTTATGTGGCAGGCCTCACTCTCCTCATTTTACTTTACAATTATGAACACCTTTCCTATCTTCTTAATGACACATTTTAAGAACATCAATGCAACAAAACATAGCAAAGAACTCACTAAAGATTCCCTGAGATGATAAACTAACATTATGATTTCATGGTATAATCTTTTGTGGAGAAAAAGGAATGCTTCTACACTGTTGGCAGGAGTGTAAATTAGTTCAACCATTGTGGAAGACAGTGTGGTGATTCCTCAAAGATCTAGAGGCAGAAATACCATTTGACCCAGCAATCCCATTGCTGGGTATATACACAAAGGAATATAAAACCTTCTATTATAAAGATACATGCATGTGTATGTTAATTGCTGCACTATTCACAATAGCAAAGACATAGAATTAACCTAAATGCCCATCAATATAGACTGTATAAAGAAAATGTGATCTATATACACCATGGAATACTATGCAGCCATAAAAAGGAATGAGATCATGTCTTTTACAAGGACATGGATGGAGCTGGAAGCCATTATCCTCAGCAAACTAACACAGGAACAGAAAACCAAACACCACATTTCTCACTTATAAGTGGGAGCTGGACAATGAGAACACATGGACACATGGAGGGGAATAACATACACTGGGGCCTATTGGTGGTGTTGGGGGAGGGGGAGCATCAGGAAGAATGGTTAATGGACGCTGGACTTAATACCTAAGTGATGGGATGATATGTGCAGCAAACCACCATGACGCACATTTACCTCTGTAACAAACCTGCGCATCCTGCACATGTACCCTGGAACTTAAAATAAAAGTTACAAAAAAAAGTATAAATAAAGAAATAAAATAAGTAAAAACCCCTTATGAAGTTGTTTCTGGCATTTCAACAGGTTGAACATCAAATTCTAGATCCATTGGTTGTGCTCATTTCTCTGATCACAGAATTAATTATTTTGATACCTTTCTTTAAATAACAGCATCATCAAAAGCTGCATATTTTGGCAATCACTTATAGATTCAATTATTGGTTACCTTTGATTGAACGAGTAACCAGAATGACAACAGCCAAGGTTGTTTTGTTCCTATTGCCTTTGTGAGCCTTTCCTGGGTTTTACATGGTGACATTCAAACTGGCCGTAACAAGGCAAGTACAGTTACTGTACCCATTGACCATGGACTACTCTTACTTAGAAGCTGTTTTTGAGTAAATTCCAATGTGCTACCAAACTTTAATTAATCAATTTCCTGTTATATTTTTGCCAGCTATATAAAAAAGGGATTAGAAATGCAAGTTTGAGCCACCTCCCTTAAAAATGCAATACAAGGGCCGGGCGCGGTGGCTCACGCCTGTAATCCCAGCACTTTGGGAGGCCGAGGCGGGCGGATCACGAGGTCAGGAGATCGAGACCATCCTGGCTAACACGGTGAAACCCCGTCTCTACTAAAAATACAAAAAATTAGCCGGGCGTGGTAGCGGGCGCCTGTAGTCCCAGCTACTCGGGAGGCTGAGGCAGGAGAATGGCGTGAACCTGGGAGGCGGAGCTTGCAGTGAGCCGAGATCGCGCCACTGCACTCCAGCCTGGGCGACAGAGTGAGACTCCGTCTCAAAAAAAAAAAAAAAAAAAAAAAATGCAATACAATTGCAACTTGCCACACAACATTACCCTATGAAATCCTCTCTGGTCTCAAAATTATGAATATTAATTGTTTCATCCAGTACCTTATGTTCCTAAAATATTTTACAATCATGTTTAGTTAATCCTCATAAAATCCCATTTAGGCGTGCCAGCATTTATATTCTCATTTCATAAAGCGAGGTTCAGAAAAGGTAAATAATGGTATAAGTGGTTGAGCAAGCCAGTTGAAAAGTGAGATTGAAAGTCTGTGTAGCCATTCTCCTTTCAGCAGCTCACTGTCTTCCCTACAACATTTCCATGTTAAAGTGCTCCAGTGGACAAATTTTCTTTCCTGTATCTCCAGGGCCTTATTGGGCCCCAAAACCTTTATATTTGCTTGGTAATAGGTCTACTAAGTAATAAAAAACTTAACTTTGAAATGTTACTTAAGTTCTCTGTAATTCAAGTATCTTTGTTTTTTTGTTGTTGTTGTTTGTTTGTTTTTTCTTAAAGTACTAGTCCCCAAAACTGAGAAGCTGCATCTAAGATAATTCTTGAATCAAACACTACTTTGCACTGTTGAAGTGGTAAGGGGCAGGAAGCCAAATAACAGGTCCGGGCCAAGGAAAAATTTATAGATGTGAGTGAAGTCAGTTTTCCCTATTCTGCTCTTTTTTTTCCTTTTTCTTCCCTCCCAACTATATCAATGTTTAACCAACAAAATTTATTTATTCGACATACTGTTACTGGGAGCCTATTACGGGTCAGGCACTTCATGAAATACTGGAAATTCACAAGAATGAATAATAAATACACAACTCCTACACGGTGGTTCACAGCTTGGTAGGGGAGATAGATACATAAACAAATAGCTCAGACTACAACGTGCTACAAAATGGCACTGAGGTAAGGGCAAACTGGGGTGGGAACACAGAGGAAGCAACAATTAACTCTGCCTGTGGGAAGCAGAGAATGGCTGCATTAGAAGGTCCCTCTAAGCTAGGTCTCTAGTGTGCAAGAGTTTGCCAAGGAGAGGAAACAGCACTTTTAAGTGACATTCTTTGGAAGGAAGCTTACATTCTAACAGGATTCTAAATCGTAACTTGAAATATTTAGTATTTTTTCTGAGTGACGGCCTTCTCTGCCACTTTCCCCAAATCACCATCTATGACTCGGCTGCAAATTATACATTTTTCTATTCTGCACCCTTAGTCTAAATACTAAGGGACCACGGAAACATCTGGTGGTGAAAAGATAGATGAATTTGAAGTTGAGAGCCCCAAATTTAAGATCATTAACTGGGGAGAAGGAAGGGCTAGGAGAGAGACAGAGAGACAAAGAAATGGAAAGAAGATACAAAAGGAAGAGACAAGAAATAAGCAGCAATTGGCATTAGTGTTCACAAAATAATTGTCTTGAGTGTGATCACCTTGAGGCCTTATGAAGTTATTGTATCAAAGGGATTAATGATTTCAAGAATGCTTTGTAAAATGAAGAAGCTACACAAGTAGATGCATGATTATGAAGAGTAAGCTTCAGCCTGTAATGGAGATGGGTTGCATTCTCCCAGGTCCAAATGCAGCTGTGTTCTTGGAGCTGCCCTATCTGAAGAGGAGACAGAGATGAGACGAGGGCTGGGAAGATCTGAAAGAGCATATGTGTCCACGGGGTGTGACCTCCTTCAGCTCTGTTGCATTACAGAGAGCATTTCCTGTGCCAGCTCAGCCATAGCCTGCCTTTTCTACAGGATATCAAGCTCCAAGTTTACAGTTCCTATCAGGGAGTCTCTTTGTTTGAACAAAGGCTCATTTGTTAGGAAGTGTCACAGATCAGCGTGTATCAGATGCAAGATTGAATGTCCCTCAAGCACAAAGACATGCAAAGCTATGCCAGGATACCAGCAATGGGGCTTTTCACCATGAGAAAACAGATGGTCAGAGTGAAAAAGGCCAGTCTTTATGGAAAAGAAATTCTTCCAACCAACCCCCACCCCTATGCCCCACTCCCTCTCTCCCCACTCCCTCTTTCACCCGTTGCACTGACAGGGAAACATTCGATATGCTGCAACATCATCTGATGTTTGCGTCCTTTTAATTAAACCAAGAGATCTGGAATAGGGATGCCCTTGTCTGTGCAGAGAAATGATTTCAAACGGAAGATAATAGAACCTCTTTTTCTTCAGGCTTGCAAGAGGCTTGTGTGTAATTTGTCCTTTGCAAGAGCAATCAAAGATAACCGGTGCACAATTGATTACGGGCTTTGTGTCTTTTTAATTACTTGTTTCTACACACTGGTTTAGTTACATGCTGAAAGCAGATCCGTCTGAGTTCCCTCTAAGCTGTAGTGCTTTCTTTTGCTTACATGGTTTAATAATAAAGCTATTAGTAAGCTACCACCACATAGAACAATACTATCAAACTGGGTAGATCTTGAATCTTGCCTTTCTTTATTCTTCCGATAGACTATTAGATGTTTTCATGGAAAACAAGGTTAAAGAATACTACATCATTGCTTAGCTATAGAGAATTATTCTACAATTTCAGGAAGGTAAAGTCTTTGACATTCCGAAAGCAGAGTTCACAGGACAGAAAAGTTAGAATTAACACAGCAGGTTTTTAGTTTGTTTTTTTTTATTTTAATTAACAAATATAAGAATAAATTCACTCTCTCTTTTTAATGAACTCTAATCTATGGACTTATAAACTGAATTCCTTTGAAAACCCATAGAAAAAGATGAAAAGCTAGCATAGTGCATAGATCAAATTTATTATTGTTTGTATTCGATGCACGAAAAATGCTGTCAAAGCAGTAAATGCCAGATGAAAATATAGAAACAATTTTATTATTAAGTTTTCAACCTAAAAGGTGAGACAGTAAAAAAGGAGTTTCATAATGATAGCCTGACTAACTAAACCTCTATGCTACCATTAACCTACTACTAATAGTAATGCTACTATTAGTGCCCTAGAGAGAAAGAAAAGCTAAAGATTGTAACCACACAAAAGAAACACAGATGATTTCAGTATTTAGACTCTGTTACTATAGCTGCTGAAGTGGGAAATAAATGAAAAGCCTAACAAAATGTGTGATTCCTCACTAAGGATACTATATACAGAGACCCAGCCTTCTGCTTTATCACCTCCATAGACATGAGCTCCCTGAAAATGGGGAAACTACCCCAACCTCTGAAAAAATCTCTGAGTCTAGATCCCCACCCACTTGTCATGCTCTCAGACCCTTTATGGATTACTTGGGCCACGGCAATAGATTCCTCCTCATTTCTAGCCATGCTCCCTATTTTACAAGCACGTATCTGCCTATCAAGTGTTCAGTATGTGCTTGGCTGCCTGGAGAATGCAAAAAGGTGGCTCACGTCTGTAATCTCAGCACTTTGGGAGGCCGAGGCGGGAGGATCACTTGAGGTCAAGAGTTTGAGACCACCCTGGCCAACATGGTGAAACCCCATCTCTACTAAAAAATACCAAAATTAGCCGGGTGTGGGGGCAGGTGCCTGCAGTCCCAGCTACTTGGGAGGCTGAGGCAGGAGAATTGCTTGAACCGAAGAGGCGGAGGTTGCAGTGAGCCGAGATCACACCACTGCACTCCAGCCTGGGTGACAGAGCAAGACTTGGTCTCAACTTAAAAAAAAGAAAAAAAATTACCTGTTTGAGGTATGGTTCCTCCTGGCAAAGAGCTGGTAGTCCAGGCAGGAAAATGAACAAATGAAATGGTGAAAAATTAACATTATGAGCTCTAACTTACGCAGAGGAGAAGGAAATCCAGACACAAAGGGCAGAGAGATGAGACCTCACAGAGAATGTGGGACTTAAGCTGCGCTGAAATATAATGGGTATTGAACAGATTTGGGAAGGCAAAGAGCAGAGAGCATTGCAACATGGATTCATGAGGCAGTCATGGGTAGGGCAGGATGTAGACATGGAGAGAATGGAAAATGAAGAACTGTGGATAGGATCAGGCTGATTACAAAAAATTTTAATGCCAGACATCTTTTAAACAAATATTTATCTGGTATCTTCTGTATGATAACTGTTGACCTAACCACTGGAGATTATAAAAGGAAGAAGACATAGTCTCTACCTCCATGAAACTCACCATCAGATAGAAAAGAGAAACTGGTCATATCAAGCACCCAAAGTTATTATGTATCTGTATGCCATTCTAGCAGAACTTTATACTTACATTAATGCAATAGTATTATTTATTTATATGTTTATCTTATACCCAATATAATGTATTATCTTGCTGATTGTTGCAACACATGTTCCTGTGTTATGCTCCTCCATGTTGATAATTAGTACTATTTGTTAAATTCTAACATGGTTCTTTCTTCCCCTTTCCTACTGCTTCTTTCCACTTGCTATTTTAATCCTGCAGCATTTTCTGTCTCTGTTACCACAGAATTTCATTTAGCTCATACTGAATCTCTCCTCTGGTCTTGCGCATTTGTGATCAGAGTTCTTCCACAAGGTTCACCCATTTGTACAGTTGTTAAAACATTTAAAGATTTGATTATGTATTTATATAGGATTCTTAGGATGCTGGAGTGTTGTGGAAACCACCTGATCTTTGGGAAAACATACCTAAGCACTATAAATACATGACTTAATGAAATATATGCCTAAGCACTGCATTTGTATAGCTCTATAATGGAGTTATGAGCAAGGCACTATGGGAGGACAGAAGGAGGGGCAACGAGCAAGCACACAAAGGTGAAATTGATATAGATCTATTGAAGGTTAAATGTAAATTTCCCTTGGGTGCATTATGAGTATTCCAGGTAGCATAACCTAAAAACAGTAAGTCTCCCATCTTATCTGCTCCCCTTCCTTTGGCAAATTCCCTTCTAAATTATTTAGAAATGATGTATTTATTGTTTCCTTCCCCTACAAATGCCTGCCTTACAGAATGTGCATTGTTGGTGGGCTCTGATGCAAATCGCTTCGCAGCAGAAGCCACTCTGCCATTATACTCTAATTTGCAGCCAAGCTGGCTTTCAGCTGGTGCCTTGTCCTTGGGCTGTCGTTCACTGTCAGGGCCTCTCCAGGGTGTGACAACTGTTTGCTTAACAACAGAGAAGGAGGGAAGCAGTCATAAGTCAACGATTTCCAAGAAAAGCCTGCCTTGGCTGCCATTGTTCCAGAACCTAAAATCATGTAGCCATGATTAGAGCTGCCCCTGGGCAAACCTATGAAGTACAAAATATTTTTCTTAGTTAATATCCATTTTCCCTTTGCTGCTACTCTTTCCCAGTCCACAGACTGGACCCAGCAATTCCAGAACATATTTAGTCTACCTTCTCTGGATAAGAATTTAATCAGCGATTCTCAATTGAAAGGCTAGTACTCAACCCCTAAATATCCCTCACATGTTCACACACACACACACACACACACACACACACACACACACATACAATTTTGCATATAATTTCAAGTAACTTACAAAATTTTCCCTGAAGTCAGTCTAGGTTAAGAACTCATTTCAACCTCTTTGTCTCTTCTTTCTCTTTCTTTTTAAACCCTATCTTTTTTCCCATATCTCACATCTCACTTTTTGGTAAGTAAAAGCTTTCCAATCGAATTCATAAGAAAGTGTTTTAAAAGTGATTTTAATATATTATTTAATTTTTTATTTACTTCTTTAGGAAAGAATCAATAAAATAACTGATTATTGTCCCAGTGAAAGTCAAACTCCAGCTAAAAGGAGACATGGGTTTACTGCACCCTCTGCTCACAGAGCTACTGTTGAGACAACTGCAATAAATTTGTTTTATGAAAACTTGGGCATGACTCATAAGGAATTCTGAAGAGAAATTTCATATTTTTCTTCTTTTTCAGGGTAATTAAATATCAAGTTGGAGAGACTAATGGTTAAAATTTCCTTCTCGTTGGACACTGAGCAACGGCTGTCCAATTTTAACAGCTGCCGACTGCCTCCCAATGATGATATTTTCAAGAAACACCATTTGTTTTTTTAGCACAGCCTCAGATGGTGCTGGTTCATCTACAGGCATGACTCTAGAACAGTTTACTTGGTGTCCTCTCTCCTCCTGGTGGCTTTCAAAATTGTTCTGGCCTTCTCAAGAAACGGGGAAAAAATTAATTAGTCAGAAAAGTTAGTGAGAGTATAGCACAGGTAAATACACAGTATATGCAAAATCATTGAGAACTGAAGGAAGACTTTAAAAAATATATAGTGTAGTACAGTGCCAGCCATTTCATATTCCAAAAATTAATAAGTACAGTATGTCATTTAAGTATTTCATAACATGAATTAGCTCTGAAATCCCGATTCATTCCACCTGATAGAATTTTTATGTGATCTTCTTACTTCTGCACTAAACTTAAAAAAAAAAAAAATAGAGGCCCGGCGCAGTGGCTCATGCTTGTAATCCCAACACTTTGGGAGGCCAAGGCAGGTGGAACATGTAAGCTCAGGAGTTTAGGACCAGCCTGGCTAACATGGCAAAACCCTGTCTCCACTACAAATATAAAAATTAGCCGGGCATGGTGGCGTGTGCCTGTAGTCCCAGCTACTTGGGAGGCTGAGGCATGAGAATCGCTTGAACTCAGGAGGCAGAGGTTGTAGTGAGCCGAAATTGTGCCACTGCACTTCAGCCTAGGCAACAGAGCAACACCCTGTCTCAATTAAAAAGAAAAAAAATTAGAAAAATGAGCAATTGCAATGGGTCACACCTTAGCCATTGTTGGATTGTCGTTAGGCTCTTGAGAAGAATCAAGTTAGAAAAATCTTTTGAGGCCCTAGAGTGGGAAAATCTGTATGTGAAGGAAGATAAATCCATGTAAGTCCCACATTCTAAAGCAGAAATGGCAAAACCAAGATGTATGTACTACTACATCCCCTTCTATGGCTACTTTAAACATTATTAATTGATAATGACATATTTCTCTGTTTAGCCTAACACAGTCTCAGAATCCTCTGAACACAGATATACAGGCATTTCTCTACCAATTGTTTGGAGGGACAGATGAAATAAAGCTCATTCGCTATGTCTGTGCTAGATTATAATAGAATCACCTGGCTATTGCAAATGCAGTAAAACTACCTGAATTTTATATGAGATAGAGAGATAAAGGTCCAGTGAAATGAACCCCCATGCCATGTGACTGGAGCAGGGGTCATGAACCATGGCCTGTGGGACAAATCTGACCGGCCAAATGCTTTTATAAATAGAAGTTTATTGGAACAACACCACAACCATTTGCTAAAGTATTGTTCATGACCACTTTCCCTGCTTTGGATTATATTAGCCAATAACGCAACAAGCTAGCTTGAGTTGGACTTTTTATTTTCATTCAAGAATGACACATATTCCAGAACTTTGGATTCTGGTTTGGCCTCCAAAAGCTACAGAACTTTCCATAATATAACAAAGAACAAAATAAGAGCCTATGATCAGCTTATAAGTCTCAGTAGCATTTGTGTTTTTGAGAAGCATGGAAGCATGCTCCCTCCTCTGAAAACAGACATGAAATGCAACACAAAGCCAAGAGTTCTTTTCCCTCCTGTTTCCTTCCCTTCTCATTTGTCTCCCCTCCCATCAGCTTTTCCTCTGGCATAGAGATCCAGGCATGGCTTTTTTCCCCCTTTTATTTTTAGTTGTCACATAATAATTGTACATATGCATGTGGTACCGAGTGATATTTTGATACATGTATGCAATGTGTAATGATCAAATCAGGAAATTAGCATACGCATCACCTCAAACAAGTATCATTTCTTTGTGTTGGGAATATGCAAAATCCTCTCCTTTAGATTTGAACATATATAATAAATTATTGTTAACTACAGTCACCCTACAGGGTTAGCTTGAGTTGGAAAAATCCAATGCAAGCTAACCCTGTAGGGTGACTATGGTTAATAATTTAAAAACACTAGAACTTATTCCTCCTATCCAGCTGTAATTTTGTATCTGTTAATGAAACTCTCCCCATTCTCCCCTTCCCTTTACCCTTCCCAGCCTCTAATAACCACAATTCTACTTGCTACTTTTATAAGCTACCTCTATAAGTTTATTTTTTAGCTTCCACATATGAGTGAGAACATACAGTACTTTTATTCTTGTCCTGACTTATTTCACTAAACAGAATATCCTCTAGGTTCATACATGTTGCCACAAATGACAGAATTTCATTCTTTTTATGGCTGAGTAGTACTCCATTGTGCATATTTTCCTTATCCATTCATCTATTGATGAACATTTAGGTTGATTCCATATCTTGACCAGAATGAATAGCTCCAGGTATGGCTTTTATATATCCTGCAAGGCTTTTTCTAAGACAGAGAAAACTACTCTCGGGTGAGTTATGTGGTCAAACACCATGCTAAGGCTGTTTGCCATTCCTGCAAATGACCTGCCTGCAATGTTCACTACTGCTCTGATAAGAAGGTACGTCAGTTAACACAGCACCACACTGTCATTCATCTATAGTGCGAGCTGCTACATATGTTCATGTTTAAGGCCACTCTGATTAACTCCACGTAATTTGTTCAAAAGCATTCTGGTCTCAACATATTGTTTGCTATCTTTATAAAAGACTAAATCAAAATAATTCCTTCAGGAGTTTTAAGGACACACACACAAAAAAAAAAAAAAAAAACAGAAAATGGGGGTAGAGAATTAATAGTTTTATGCTTTCTCATGCACAACTTTATGTATTCCTGATAACATTCTGTGACATAGAAGTTATCCTATTTATTTTATTGAGAGTTTCCTGACACAGATGGACCCAACAGACAATTAATTGGTCACAACCCTGATAACTAAACTGACTAGTAAAACCTCATTCTCATCCTTAAGGATTGTTTTTACAGAGAATAAGTCCTATATTGTTGTGCTATCCACAGGTTTTCTGTGGGTTTTTTTTTTATTATTTCAAAACTCTAATATCAGAAGAGAAAGAAGTAGGCAGCAGAGAAAAGAAGAAAAGACTTAAAGAGAATGTTGGGAAAGGGAGCAACAAATGAAGATCTGGGAAAGGGAAACGGGGTGTTATTTTCATCCTAGAAATTGCTGTTAAAGCATATTCCCAAAAGATATTCCCACTCCTTTATAAGGAACCAGATGAAACCATGTGTGTGCCAGGTGTGAACAGATGTATATTCCACAGTCCCTTCCATGGCTATATTGAGTGGATAATAAAACCCTTTGATGAGAACTTCAATGAACACAGCGGCAGCCTGGCATTATTTAATCACACTGTACCTGGCACACACAGGACAGAGTCTCAGAGGTTGTGCTGTGGCAGAAATAAAAGGATTTCAAATAGGAAATTCCTGTTAGGGCTCTATAGCTGGGTCTGCTGTGAAGACTGCAAAGTCAGCTTAGGCAACACAGCATTGTAGAGTGACTAACTGCTCACTTTGCATGTCCCACAGTTCCAAATCCACAGCTCAACTTGCCTTAAAGGACAATATTGCTGGGAAGCAAAAACATAGCAGGAACAAACAATAATGAAGACTTTGACAACAGTCTACTGGAGAGGACAAGAGGTCAATGACGGTCTCTGCCTCTTTCAGGGCATTTTCCAAGTGACTGACAAATGCTCAGCATTTTCATCCCTATTTAGCAAGAAGAGAGAGGAACTGCAACCATATTCCACTGAGTTTTAGTGGCAGACAGAGTTGGTGGATAACAATTACGTTTATTCAGCTTTATTCAGCACATTCTTCTGCCAACTGGGCTTTAAAGCAACACAATTGGACAAAACCAGCACAGATTTCACACAAACAAGTTGACTGCTCTTGCTTTTTCCTAATACCACCCTTTCTAGCAAAGGGCAGATTTAACCATATAATGGTAAAATAGGGAGCTTTTCTTTTCTGTTTGCCAATCCAGATTGGTCAATCCATACTAGCGTTAAACTTCCTTCTCATTAGAATGTTTCCAGGTCCTCTTTTCTTTAGCAGAATTCGCTAATATCTAACAACTAATGCTTCTCTGCACTGCCTTTTCCAGCATTTACAAGGTAGTGGTGAAAAGCAAGAAGTCTGGAGCCAGACTACCTGAGCTCTGACTCTGTGTAACCTTGGACAAGTTAATTAACCTTTATAAGCCTCAGTTTACTCATCTGTAAAATGGGGGAACCCTGCCTTGTAGGGTTTTTATGAAGTTGAAGGAGCTAGTGCAAAGCACTTAGTAGAGAGCCTTGAATGGCATAAGAAAAGCTCCATCTATATATCCCTGTCTCTCTCTCTCTCTCATATATATATGCTGTTTCAACAATTCATTATTATTGGAATGTTTTGTGATTGTCCTTTTAAAAAATCGTTTGGAAATTCTTATTTCCTCCTTCTTTAAAACAGCCAGCAACCTTTCCTTTACAGCTAAACAACATGCACCCAGCTCTCCTCCCTTTAACTCATCTGTGACTTCTGACCCATGATAACAGGCTTCCTGGCTCCCTTTGATTCCAGCAATAGACTGTTACTATTTCCTTCTATCCTGAAACTCAATATACCTTCCTCTAGATCTAGTAGTGGAAAAAAGAATATAAGAAAGGAAAGTACCATTGGAAAAAAAAAAAAAAGAAAGGAAAACTAGATCTATTTCATGCTTGTTTGGCTGGATGATCCATATGAACTTTTTCTGGTATATTCTTTTGATGGTTGAAATTAACCATCTTTTTAATACTTAGGTCACTTGCACTAGAAAAAAAATAAAATAAAAGGGAAAATAAATACAATTCTTTTATCTTCAGATCTTATTTTTGTGCAGCTGTGCATACTTTTGTGCATACTCTTATGCATATTCGTATGCATACTTTTATTCAGAAGCTGATAAACCTTAAATTGTTAAATGGTTTTAATAGAAAGCTGAATTCATTTTTTTTAAAAAACCAAAAAGGTCTAACTATCCCTGAAAATAGCAATACCATCTTCTTGTGGCTTGCTATATGAAGTGTCCAGCACTCACAAAGCAATGCCTTTAGTTAGATGAGTTGTTTACTCATGGGTTTCAATACCCCTGCCATTTTTGATCATGAAAAAGAAAATTACTGCAAATCAAGGTAAGTAGAAAAGAAAAAAGGGAAGAACAAAAAAAAGGGAAAATGACTCATGTGCTCAAGACTTCAATGTGAAATCCTCATCATCCTTTCAACTCACTCTGAATTAAGGAAGTGGTGCGTGACATGTGCTGAAGCTAGATCAGCAGCATAAGCTGTACAGATGTGCGCATCTGGTATGCAGGTGTTTGTACAGATATTCTCCAGCCAAACTTTCAGGAGGTAGCATTTTTGTAAAACTGGCTCCTCGCTAGCACAGGGAAAGCAAGAGAGAGGGACCACCCACTGATAATAAATAATGTCATTGCTAGGCTGACCACATGCCCACAAAGATTGATTCTTAAATTTGATATGCGTCAGAACTACTTGGGAAACTTTATAAAAATGCAGAATCTTCAGCATCTTCCCCAAGAGATTTATATTCAATATACTATGGTATACTCCAGAAATCTGTTTTTAACAAACATGCTAGGTTATTCTAATGTAACTGTTCTTTAGTCCACACATCAAGAAACACTATCCTAACACATAGAATAAAATGGGAAAAAAAATCTAGAAAATAAAAAAAAAGTTTTCTCCTACAAAGTTTGTAGCAATCCTCACCATTATGTGAATACTGCCCACAGCATTCACAAGCAGAATATTTAACCACAAAACCAGACAAAGGTATTTAACCAAGCAAACTCTGAGTATTAACAAACTTTTAAACAATAATTTATGTCTTTATTTATCAGGTCCTGCACCTACACAGCAACTAAGTACAACTCAGTTTTAGAATAGCAACAAAACATACATATCTGAGGTTGGTAGCTTTATACCCTACCATGAGCCTGGTAGCATGCCTTATATATTAGTCTCAGGTGTCTTTCTGTGACCACTATCAATTAGGAACAGGTGTCCCCTAGGAATTCTTCTCTGAAACAGCTCCCAGCAACCAAGAGTCACACATCCGCTAACTTATTCCAAGACTAGAAAACAGAAAAAAGATAGATCTGAGGAAACACTCAAGAGCCAGATCATAGAAGTAATTTTGGAACATGTTGAATTCAGACTTTATTTAGCAGGCTAGGGGAAGTCATTGAAGCATTTTGATTAGTGAAGCATCATGATCACAATTAGTTCATAGATTCCACATAGTTTAGGCTATAAACTGCAGATTTTATGATAATGTATGTAAAAGGATTCTGCTAAAACAAAAAAGTGATGTATAGTAAGGACATATGGATGTGATAAAATTATGTCATTAATATAATTACACATCAATATGTTCCTCCCTCATTCAAAGTAAGAAAAAAAAAGCTGAATATGGCATTTCTTATTAGCCTCAAGAGTAAATTTCTAAGAATAATGTTCATTCAATAAGTACTTATTGCACGTCCATGTTATGTTAGGCACCATGCTAGGAGCTGGGGAGCAAAACAGGGAGGGTCTCCACTCTCCAGGTGTTTACAGTCTGCTGAGACAGACACTGAACAAATAACCAAACAAGCTGTGGATTTTCCACATGAATCTTTGCTATGTCTGGCAATACTGTGCTTTCATTTCTTTTAAAATGTGAGCCCTTTCCCTATTCTGCCTTTCTTTAAGGACTCCTAAGCAATCATCAGAGGTCTCAAACGGACCGCCTGCAGACCTATTTTGTTTGGCCCACACAATGCTGAAGTCTACTTATTTTTTTAATTTGAATTTGTTGCCAACATAAAATATAAACTCACAGTTTCTCTTGAATATTTGGCCACATTGAGCCTCAGTTTTCACAAGGTAACAAGTGGCTGGAGCTGCACAGCAGCTGCCCTCTTCCAAAGTCATATGTTTCTTCTGCTTGACCACGTGTAAGCCCAGTTCTTATCACTTTGCTGCTGCACAGGCCATAGGTCTGCTGGTATTGAGCATCTCAAGTTGCTATTTTTCTTATACCTAGCTCAGTTTACTCATCTACATTGCTTGCCAGACCCTCTTAGACAGTTTAGTTTTCAATTCCCACTCTACAGAGAAAGGTTAGGCGATTCTTTTACCAAATTCTCTTTAGCATGTTCCTTCCCCTTATTCTGCGGCTCCTCAAGTGTCTACACTAAGTAATCGAATGTTGTTTCTCTGTTTGTTTATTCAAATATCTTCTCCACTTCCCTTTCCAACTGTGCCATTTCTCAAATCTATTTAGTCTAAGCAAACAAGTTAGTCATTGGTCAGCACAAAATATGACCTGCTACCTTCTGTTTCATTGACTTCAATCTTTCTAGAATCTCTTTCTAGAATTCATCCCAGCTCTCCAAATTCTGATTGTCCAATTCCATCTATCCTCAGGTCCAGCTCAAATCCCACACCTTTTCCACAAAGCCATTCTTGACTTCCCTAGCCAGATGTGACATAACCTCCCTGTGAGCTCTCATACAATCTTATCTGTAAGGCCCCTTGAGCTTTGTACCCCATAACATAGCTCTCTACATTTGAACTCCTGGAAGGGGGCGTCCTGTCTAACTTATCTTCTGTTCCCGATTAGCACAGTACCTGGCAGAGAATACTGAGCGTTTCCACCATAAATGGAGAGAGAGTCTACTTAAACACATAGCAAAGGAAATAGGGGGTGCTGAATGTATTTAACCTCCTCAAGGATACTAATAGCTGTTTTCAATGCTCAAGCCACACAGACATAGACTTGTATAGGGGATTATTTTGTATTTGCTTGACCTAGTATTCCTTATATTTGCTGTTCCCATACATGTGCCCCGTGGGAACATGCTCATTCGTTCCATGCATTTCGATAATTTCTTACTTATAATCTAGTCCAAGATATTTTCTCTTTTCTCTCAATCAGAATATTACACAAAATATTCTAGATTACACAAAATATTGTTGATTCTAGAGTCAAGCCACAACAAGATTTGGAGTCTATCTTGAATGCAAGCCCTTGAGGAGCAGGAAATCTCACCTATCATGCCTTATACTGTGAAATAGATGCTCTATTAACAAGTGCTTTTGATATATATTTATAACTTTTCTGAACATTGAACTAGAGCTAGAATGCATCCCTGTGATTTTGGTATGAATGTGTTTACTTCTACCCATTAAAAAGGCAATATATTTTTCTCTAAAATGAGAAAAGAAAAGCAAAAGGATATACAGAGCAGTTTAATGTCTTATCCAATTTCACATAGCTAGTTTCCAGAATCATCTAGACTATTTAATACAAGTATATTTTGAAAACCAGTCTTGTATATTCGTGTGCTGCTTTTGGGCAAGAGTATCCTGAAGTCTTCAATCATCCATTCAGATGCTCAGTTAGCACTTCTTGAGAGCTATGTGCTAAACAACCTGAAGCACACACACAAAATTTTCCTGTTCACTACTTATCAGGGTACTTCCAAGCTCAAAGGAGATTTATTTATTTTTATAAGGCAACCTTTCAACCAGTCTCACCTCCATGCTCCTGGTTCATACTTTCTTTTGTGTCAGCCAGCCATTTAAAAATAAAAATAAAATAATTAAAATAAAAGCTCTTCTCTTCTAGAGGGTAAAATATTTCAGAGCCTAAAGTACACACAAGAAGATTGCTTATAACTACCCATTTTAGTTACAGAGTCCAACTTGGCAAATTACAGTGGACAAATCTGTGTTTTAATTCCAACCTATTTCATACTCAGGCTAGCCCAGCCATTTCCCTTATTTCCAATTCCTTGGGGATGCCAGAACCTTCCTGGCTAAATCCTAGGCATAACATCCTAAATTCAAGGCACAGCTTCACTCCTTGGCATTCACCCGAAGTCCCTAAGCTGGTGGCTTCTCCTTTCCTGGTTGCTGTCACTGGACCTCCTGATGGCCTGTCTTAGGACATAGACTGGGTATGTTTCCATAAATTTTTGCCCCCTTCTGCTCTTAATTCAAGTCTCACTTCCTCTCTCTCTTTTCTGTTCGCAGACAGATTCGCTCATTCTCTTTCTCTTCCCAACCTGGACAATCATATTGTATCCTGGTCCCATTTCCTGCTGTCAGTCAATTCCAACTCTTAATCTTCTGTGGATAAGTAGAAGGCTGTTTTTTTTTGTTTGTTTGTTTGGTTTGGTTTTTTTTCTAATTGGTGGCTCAACCCTTGTGTTTCTATACTAAAGGGTAAAGAGGTGAACCTAAAATGCCTTCCATTAATGTACTTCTGGTGAGGAAAGTTAGCACAAAGTGGAACAAAAGTCACTAAGTTCAGTCTATTAGTTACTCAGTACATATAAATAAAAAGCAGATGCTAGGGCAGTGTTTCTCAAAGTGCTGTTAAACAGACCACTTGCCTCAGCCTCATTTGTGAAAAGGCAGTATTGGGGGTGATGTAAAAGGCTGCTAGATAAAATGCACATTCCTGGGCTCTACCCCAGACTGACAGCCAAAATCTCTGAGGATCTACTAAGAATCTGAGCTTTTTACAAATGTCCAGTTCTTCATTTAATGTATATTTAAATTTAAGAGCTGTTACACACCTGTCTCTATTATCCTTTGAAAACAGTTGTTCTTTATCATGTATTTGTTGAGTGTCTAAGATCTAGGTTTCCTCTATCTTTGATACAGTATTGAATATGTGCTCTTGTAGGCACTGGAGCTATAGCAGAGAATGAATAGACAAGTTTCTTACTCATGAACCTTACATTCTTCTGGGAGAAAGAGATTTGTGGTCATCATTGCAAGAAAATAAAATGAAAATTAATGAAGAGTTCCAGCTACTTCATGAAGAATAAAGGTTCATACATAGACACAGTGCCTCTATACACATATATTTTCAATATTCCCATAAAATAAGAAAACATAAAATGGAAAAAAAATAACTAGAATATTTAGTTTTTGTTCTTTTAATTTCCAGGAATTACTTTGGGATATTATTTTAGATTCTTTTAAAAGTTTTCAGAATATTATTTTAAAGGCTTGTTCCTACTAAAACATATCTGTTCTTAGTAAGACAAAAATTTTAAATACTGAGCTGTGAGAGATGAATTCTTAGTGAAGAACATAAACATTAACCCACCCCATCAGAAAAGCAGTACCAAGAGAAATTGTGTCAGTTGGCAAACAGGCACCAGGGCATGTACCCTGAGTATATATAGGTTGGATGTGTAAAGGTAGTATTCACTACCAAGTTGCCTCCAAAATCTCTTGAAATTGTGGGGTCCACACTCAGCCTTTCACTACCACTATATAGAGAGAGTCACAAACAAATGCCTTTCTAGATTTAAATAGAAATTAAAGGGGTGAAGGGAAGGATGAAAAACATATGAGCATCTGTGAGCCAAGCTGCCACTTTCACTCCCCCTCTATGCTCTTGCACAAAGACATATTTCATTTGAGAGTGTGAATATATGTGTGACCAACAAGAAAGCTGAGGATTTTCAAATCAGCCAGCAATCCCTGGGCCATTTCAGCTGTGTTTCTATTTCACAGAGCCTCTTGGGGACAGCTGGGAGCAGGTGTGAAGTTCCAGTTTATTAACAAGTTAAGTCAGTGTTGCTGTGCATTTTGAGGGGCCTAATAGACTGGCCAATCTCCATGAATATAGAATAGCACTGCACTGGGAAGACACACAAAAAATGAAAATACTACCTACTGTTATTACTATTACAAATGGCACCTGTTGGAGATGTACTATATTCCGGGGACTGTGCTGACTCTGATGAATTATGATGTTCATTAAATGTTTTAGATAAATTAGTAAAGTTTTCTTCTGGATAAAAAACATTGAGAAATTATAGTTGATGCTGAAAATCCAACCCGTATCAAAGAGATGCTCTAGGTTGTCTTCCCCACATATTGACTTTAATTTCTTGTTTGCTTTGCAAATGGAGCTTAAAATTTGGGGCATGTTGTCTGCTGAGTACAGTGTGACCCATGAGGTTTGATTAACCATGAAAAGATTTCAGAGGCTATAATCTCTGCCATGGCAGGTGGAATGTTAATATTATTTATTTTTACTTTATTTTATTTTTACTGGGCTTTGGGAGGGTACCAGAAGGAAGGAAATAGAACATAAAGTAGTAGTGTTATACAGAATTTTAAGAAAATATTTAGTATCATTCCTTAATTTTCAACTTAAAATGAGGACCAAACATAGTCTGATTTTTTATGATCTCCTGTATTTCCTTTTGTATTCAGGCTTTTGCTTCAACCATCTGGCTATCAACACATGGTTTTCAAGCCAAATAAAGTTCATCTAATGTTCCTTTTCAGAATTTTTTGCCTACATATTCAGTTCATAGGAGTGGGAGACCAGTAAAGCTAAAGCAGTCACCAGCCTTTTTGTAATCCACAACCATCAGGGATCACATCCAGGCTCAGAACCACAAGTAATCCTAATTGTAGCCAGTGGGAATTGGTTTTAAAACTCAGAGGTGTTAAAGATTAGATCCACAAAAATTGCATGATGGCACTGGGCTATAATAAAGGATTACTTATGAAAAGAAAATAGATGTGAATAATAATTTCTCATTATCTTGACTTATGTTTGTCTCACACTCACATGACTGAGTCAAAAATGAAGCTTTTCTATGCACAGTTGTTATTTGGGGGAAAATGCAGGCTGCTCACCACTGGATTTCTGAACATTTAGCCTGCTATTGAAAAATATATAAAGTCCTTTTATAAATTTATCCATTTCTTTTATAAACCAGGAGAGTGGTGCAAACATAAAAGCACCAAGGAGAGTCATAGGAGCCAGCCAGCTTCCACGAGGAGAGACTATGGAAACCAATCTGAGAAGACTTGAGGGAAGCATGTGAACTCTCTCGAAATACCTGAAAGCCTATCAAGGCTTGTACTTTTGTTCCCAAGGAACAGTAATGATAAGTGTTCTATTTATTGTTGAGTACCCACCAGTATCAGGCACCAGGCAAGTGCTTTTAATACATTATCTCTAATTTTTATATCAACTACGAAGTAGATAAGTTTATCCCATTTAATAAGTGAATAAAGGGGGAAGGAGTGGTACACAGAGTATACACAAAGTGCTCAAGCTGCTCACCCAAACAGACATTCCAATCTAGGTCTCTCTCTACCTCAGTAAGTCACAATTCCACCTTTCCAGTTGCTCAGGAGACACCTTTGAGCCCTTTGACATCCTAAAGCTAATCCTTCAGCTGATTACATCTGCTCTACCTTCAAAATATATTCAGAATCTGGATAATTCCCACCACCTCCACTATTGCTAGACTGTTCTAAACCCATCCGTGTTGTTTATTACACAGGACATCACATCCATGTTACTAATTTTGTACCTTCCTCCTAATGGCCTCCCAGCTTCTGCCCACAGCCCCTGGTGATCTACGTTTAACACAGCAGCTAGGGTCATCCTTGAAAAACTAAGAGTTTTTCTCCTCTGTTCAAAAGTATCCAAAGACACCCTAGCTTAATACGAATAAAAGCCAAAGTTATTATTACAGTTACTTGTATAAGACCCTACCCAATCTGGGTTCTGTTATTTCCCATCTCCTTGCTCCTCCTCAAATACCCTGGCTCGGGGTCTTGGCACTTTCTGCACCCTCTTGCTGGAATGCTCTTTCCTGAAACATCTTCATAGCTCACCTCACTTCCACCTCCTTCAGGACATTATTGAAGTGTTCCCATCCCACTGAGGCTTTCCTGACTACCAGATTTTAAGTTGCAACCTGCCTATCCAGTGTTTTTTTCATAGCACTTGTTACCATTCAACAGACCATACATTTTTTTTCAATCTTTGCTTTTCATCTGTCTTTTCTTCTCCTAGTACAATACAACTTCTATGAAAGCAGGGATTTTTTTCTATTTGTTTACTTTCTGTCTGTCTAGTACCTAAAGCAGTGTCTTGTACCTACCTGGCATTCCATAAATGTCTGTTGAATAAATTACTATGTCACAAGACCATGAGGCCCCACAGACCCAGTCTGGCTTGAAGAGATATATCACTAAGCTAGAACCCTTAATGTTATGGGAACACAGGCTATCAAAGCTTAAAAGCACCTCAGGATCATCTAATTCTCCCAATAAGACCAATGGAGAATCACTAAAGGAAGATACAGAGATTTTTTTTTTTTACAATAACTTCAAAAATATAACAGAGCTATGTGAAGTCAAAATAGACTGCACAACCACACAAGGGAGTCAATGTGGGAGAAAGGGGAAGTGTTAAATTCCTAAACTAAAAGACCTTCCTAAGCCTGGAATTCCATAATTCTCAGACTTACTCTACCTTGGGCTGACCTCACATCCCAAGCTCATAACATTTTCTCTGCTGGATTCTCTGAACTATGCTCCCCACATACAGGGCATAGCACCATCTGTTTATAAAAAACAGAGATTGGCTTCTCCAGGCATGAGCCTAAGTTTGGAGAATAAGTGAATAAATATCCCACTGTGTCCCAGGTCCTAGGGTACAAAGAAAGTCAGGGGCCAAAGGGAGTCTTTTGAGAGAGTTGTAAGCAAGGCATCAGGACAATGCAGTTGTCTTTTATGACAGGTATAACTGGTTTCCTTGTCTCTGCAGGAATGTGAGCAGAACTTTCTAGGAGACACTTAAAGGGCACATACAATCCCTAGAAGTTTCTGGAAGATGCTATGACTGATAACTCTTCCCCATATCTAGTACCTCATAAATGATCTCAAATTTTCTATACATATACAATCAGAAAAGTGGTGCTTTCATTTACAATATGTTGTCTTTTACCCAAGATTTAGAAAACATTGAAACTTTTTTTTAATTAAGGAATAAGAATTCAGTAAGATCACAACCTTTGCCCAAGAAACTCTATACAGCTTCAACTCCCAATTAAACTTTCTCATTTTTAACAGTCATGGCTCTCTAAATTCCAAGGCTTTTGCCAATGCAGAGAACATTAAGTACGATTGCCCTCTGGTACTGAACTGAAGCAGAACTAAAATTCTTAAAATTATATTTCATCCCACACTGCAGAAGTTCCCTTTTGAAGCCAACATAACTCACATATCAAAACCTCCAATGAAAGACTTTATAGGCTGTGAGATACAACTAATTGATTTCAGAAGCCTTACTAGGGATTGCATTTTTACTTTTATAGGCCTGAAAAAAAAACTGTTCTTAAAACAACTGCATGGTTCTTCAAGTTACTAATTTAATTACACTGTTTATTGCACCCAAAGGATCCACAAAGGCGCAAATGTTTCGTATTCTCTTTTTCTCTTGTCTTTAAACCAAAGATAAATTATTTCAAAGGCAAATTTGACTCCTGGATGAAAGATAAACAGAGGACTGAATCTCACAAGGAACTCTATGAATAACTGGATTATTAAAAAATTATTCAATATTATAAGCTTCTTGTTATAAATAAATAAGCATTAAAATATGAATAAAATAAATACTTGAAGGACCTATATAACAGATGAGCTGAGATTTGGAAGCATTTTGGATTCTCTGCTATGTTATTATTTGAAAGTGAAAGCGGTAAAGGTTAAATTGAAGACCCTACCTACAATGGCAAAAACATTCTTCCATCTTTGTTTATAGACTTAATTGCTTTGAAGAGTCATGATGTGTAAATAAGACAATTGGTAGGAAATAGATACCATATTTAATTATTGAAGAGAGCTATTTCCTTATCATACCTAGTAAGTATTTACTATCTCTGTATTTAAAAGCAATGTTATCTATACTGTTTTACTTTTGCAATAAAGAAAATGCTATTAAATGCTATTTTCTCTCAGCTTTCTATACTGACAAATCTTACATGTTCAGAAAATGCATCCTAAAAAATTCAAGATGTTACTTTTGTACTTATTTCTAGAAAGAAGTATCTCATTTAAGAACAAGAGAATGGACATGAGAATACTAGCAGAGATAAAGGATGTCCATGTGACTTGAGTTTAAGATCAATACAGCAGGCAAAGTCTGGAAGAAAAGGTCTTAGGAAAGGTGCATGTGGCCCAAGCTGAAGGCATTTGCTGATGAAATCTTAGCCAGAGCTCTGTGTGGCATTCCAAGGAGTAGTATCTGGCTCTCCAGCAAAGAGGATAGGGAGGAGTGAGGACACTATCCTTCCTATCTACAAAGCCACCATGGAAACAGTCTTCAGATAATCAGAGCACAGAAATCAAGGACATTTTGTCTTTCTTTGGTTGAGACTTAAAGGTGAGTCTTTAGATTCATCTAAAACAGATGAATCTAAAACACCTGCCAGAAGTTCAACTATTTGGACGTACATGGTTAAAACTTATGACTGTAACTGTCACCCGTGGCCTTACCAAAATAATTTGGCACTTACTTTTACTTCAACTTGAGGTAAAAGGAAATGGTTTCTAAATCTGTAGTGCTGGGTTTTTGCTTTGTTTTATTTTGTTTTCAAATAAACTCCAGGAGAGAGAATAAATGCTGAAGACTTCCATATAAATCATTTCCCTTATGTTTACATTTAACTGCCTGGCTACATTCATCTAATGAGTTTAGTCTGTTTTCTCTTTGCAAGCTCAGCATGGTTATAAATACAATAAAGAACAGCATGTCTTCTACCATCACTAGTCCCAAAATAGGCTTCAAGTGAAACACATTACAAAGATTATATCCCTCTTTAAAGCTGTCTTATTATCTATATATATATGCAATATATATAACAAACGTATTTGTAATATATATTGTATATTTATTTGTAATATATATTATCCACAAATATGTGTACATATATAAATGTGTATATGGATATACACATTTTATTTCTATTAATGAAAACTAGTAGCCATCTTTCCCCAATCTGGATTGACTTTATTAAGCCATCTTGGAATGGAATGACAAAGCAAATGGGCTATGTCTTCTCTCTTGTCAGTACGTCACTTGTTGGGTATGTCTTCCTTGAATGCTTTGACAAGAAATGGCTAATGAGAAAATCTGAGGCCTTGAGTTTTCTTCGAAGTGCAGTCACCTGTTCCCTGTCATAATTAGTGTCTTTTTGATCTTCAGCTCATTGCTTCTTGACAGCTTACTCCTGTCTTGTGCATACATTTTCAAATAATGGTGGTAGGCTACTGAACCACTTTTAATCTGTGAAAATCAATGTGTCCTTAATGATACTCCAATAGAGAAAGCTGGAATATCTTATTTGTCAACACTTGAGACATTGGTTAAATGAATTACCTTTAATACTGGTAACTTACAGGAAATATTGAGCTTTCCAGTAGAAAATACATCTTAAAGATGACCAAGTAGCCTCAGTTGTGAGCAACAACTCTAATATTAAAAAGAATGCCAGCTAATATATGTAGAAGGAACGACAGAAATAGTAAGTTATTACTTTGTAAACTTTAATAAAAGTATTGACTTAGGCAGGAAGTATCATATGGTATTAAAACCATGGGTAAAAAGGTATGGATGGACCAGACATTGTGTAGTGCCAAGATAACACCACATAGACTACTTCCTGGCCGCAAGGGGAAAATGCAACATTATAGTGGACAATCAAGAAGTCATTAACATACGCAGTTATAGTGATATGAATGGTGGGAAACCCAGATATTATATGTTCCCTGACATAATGCAATATGGAGTACCTAAGATCAGCTAGTATGTACTCTTACCAAAATATTGACCATAAACTAATCAAGCTTTTTCAGAAGGATGCAAGACATATCCAGAAAAATGAAATATTTTTCAGGACAAATGACCCTCTCTTTTCAGGAAGTCGGGACTATTCTAAACTAAAAAAGATTTAAATTATACAAAAAAAATGCAACTTATTGTCCTAATTAGATTCTGCTATGAACAAACCAGCTGAAAGAAACATTTTAGGGAAAATTTTAAGAAATTTGAATATGGAATAAGTATTAGATGATATTCAGTGATTATTGTCAATTTTGTTAGGTATAATAATTCTATTTTGGTTATAAGAAAATGTTACTTTTTTACAGATACATAGTAAGGCATTTATGAATATAATACCATAATTTCTATACTTTTTCCTTAAAATACCTAAGTATAGTAAAAAATGAGTTGAAAAGAAGTAAAGCAAAAATGAAATTCTTTCTTTCTTCAGAATAAGCAAATGCAAGCAGCAGATGACATCCTCAGATGACATAGTTCTGGCCGATGACTTCCTAATAAAATTTCTAAATGTCCTCTGCACTATTAATATTGCCTTAAAAGAGTGATAAATTCTTTTCATAAATAGGATATGTAGTCTCTCTTCCTTTATTCACTGTTTTTCAGAAATAAGTCAGGAGAACACTCAGTTAAGCATTGTTCTCATTCTCTTCCTTTCTCTATTCTAAGACAGTGGTACTCAAAGTGTGGTCCTTGGAGAAGCAGCATCAGCATTGCCTAAGAATGTACTAAAAAGGCACATACTGGGTCTGCTCCAGGCCCAGCAAATCAGAAACTCTGGGGGTGGAGCCCAGCCAGCTTTGTGCATTCTACCCTCCAGGTGATGCTGATGCACACTGAGGTTTGACTGGTCATCGTTCTAGAGAGCTCCCATTTCTCCCGGGGTAATCCATTTCATCACTGCTAAGTTGCCTGCAAACTAGAGATAAAATATAGTAAGATTCCAAATTGTAGAATTTATACATAATTTTTATTCTTTTCTATCAAAGTCTTTAGCCATAAAATGAGAGAGTGAGAAAACAATATTTGTTACATTTGATATTGCATTATGTTTACAAAACAATATTTTAGACATTATTGAAAACAATGAACTTGTTCCATGTAGTCACTGTTATACTTTCCAGACTCCAGGAGAACCTTCTACTCTCTACTGCAAGGTGAAATACTCCCATTTTATGAGCTACAATTTGTGACGCAATTTGAATGATGCCTGTCTTCAAACACTTCACAGATTACCTACTCACAGTGTTCTAATTTTCTAGTGGTTTGCCTT
The DNA here is from genome assembly GCF_000001405.40 of Homo sapiens. NCBI lineage: Eukaryota > Metazoa > Chordata > Mammalia > Primates > Hominidae > Homo > Homo sapiens. Next base: position 98,532,419 of record NC_000005.10, read on the forward strand.
GTCTCCCCAAGAAACAGTATATTTTGAAGACTGGTGACCATGTCTAAATGCTGCAAAACCCAGTGCATCCCATATGACTTTGAGCACTCAGTAAATATGAGATTCTGCAATGCTGATGCTTTCCTAATATTAGTGGAAAGTCAGAATCCTGAGAGATTCCATAACACCATCATTTTCTTTTTTTTTTTTTAATTTAACTTTATGTTCTGGGATACATGTACAGAATGCGCAGGTTTGTTACATAGGTATGCATGTGCCATGGTGGTTTGCTGCACCTATCAACCCATCATCTAGGTTTTAAGCCCCGCATCCATTAGGTATTTCTCCTAATATTCTCCCTCCCCTTGGCCCCCAACCCCCTATAGGCCTCAGTGTGTGTTGTTCCCCTCCCTGTGTCCATGTGTTCTCATTGTTCAACTCCCACTTATCAGTGATAACATGTGGTGTTTGGTTTTCTGTTCCCATGTTAGTTTGCTGAGAATGATAGCTTCCAGCTTCATCCATGTCCATACAAAGGACAGGATCTCATTCCTTTTAATGGCTGCATAGTATTTCATGGTGAATATGTGCCACATTTACTTTATTCAATCTATCATTGATGGGCATTTGGGTTGGTTCCATGTCTTTGCTATTGCTGCAATAAACATACGTGTGCATGTGTCTTTATAGCAGAATGACTTATAATCCTTTGGGTATATACCCAGTAATGGGATCACTGGGTCAAATAATATTTCTGGTTCTAGATCCTTGAGGAATCACCAAACTGTCTTCCAAAATGGTTGAATTAATTTACATTCCTACCAAGAATGTAAAAGTGTTCCTATTTCTCCACAGCCTCACCAGCATCTATTGTTTCTTGACTTTTTAATAATCGCCATTCTGACTAGCATGAGGTGGTATCTCATCGTGGTTTTGATTTGCATTTCTCTAATGACAAGTGATGATGAACTTTTCTTCATATGTTTCTTGGCCGCATAAATGTCTTCTTTTGAGAAATGTCTGTTCATGTCCTTTACCCACTTTCTGATGGTTTTTTTGTCTTGTGAAATTAAGTTCCTTGTAGGTTCTGGATATTAGACCTTTGTCAGATGGATAGATTGCAAAAATTTTCTCCCATTCTGTAGGTTGCCTGTTCACTCTGTTGATAGTTTCTTTTGCTGTGCAGAAGCTGTTTAATTTAATTAATCCCATTTGCCAATTTTGGCTTTTGTTGCATTGCTTTTGGTGTTTTAGTCATGAAGTCTTTGCCCATGTCTATGTCCTGAGTGGTATTGCCTAGGTTTTCTTCTATGTTTTTTATGGTTTTGGGTTTTACATTTAAGTCTTTAATCCAACTTGAGTTAATTTTTGTATAAGGTGTAAGGAAGGAGTCCAGTTTCTGTTTTCTGCATATGGCTAGCCAGTTTTTCCAGCACCATTTATTAAAAAGGGAATCCTTTCCCCATTGCTTGTTTTTGTCAGGATTCTCAAAGATGAGATGGTTGTAGAAGTGAGGTGTTATTTATATTGTCTTGGCTATATGGGTTCTTTTTTGGTTCCATATGAAATTTAAAGTAGTTTTTTTCTAATTCTGCAAAGAAAGTCAGGTAGCTTAATGGGAATATCATTGAATCTATAAATTACTTTGGGCAGTATGGCCATTTTCACGATATTGATTCTTCCTATCCATGAGCAGGTAATCTCAACACTTTGTGGGGCTGAGGCAGGAGGATCACTTTGAGGCCAGGAGTTCAAGACCAGCCTGGGCAACATAACAAAACCCCATATCAACAAAAAATAATAATAATAAAATGCACTTCAGTGTATAGGCTTAATTAGGCTGCTAATAGACTATGTCCCCCAGAACAAACCATCTACATCATGGAGGTGTGTGTGTTTGTGTGTATTAGGGGTGGTAACAGGATATGTGGATTGTGGATTAAAAGCATTGGGCTTGAATTGTAGCTCCATTAATCAGGCAATTTATGTTACATTTTTAAATATATCAATAAAATTAACATTAGAGGGTTACTATGAAGATTAAAGGTGGTATTATTTGTAAAAACCTTGAAACAATAATTGCACATAGAACAAAAACAAAATAATCAGTGTAACAGCATTCACATTGCACTGACTATATGTAATGCAATGCTCTACGAGGTTTGTATACAGTAACATATCAAATACTCACAACAAATCTATGAGGTGAGTACCATTACTATCTCTGTTTGACAGAAGATGAAACAGAGGCTCAGAGAGGTCAAGTCACACTACTCCAATTCTATACCATTACAATGTTTTAGAACTGAGATTAAACCCCAGACTCAATGGTTCTAAAATCTGCACCCAAGATTATCATCTCTGTAAGAATAATAATAATCTGTTTATTATTATTATTATTATTATTATTATTATTATTATGTGGGAAAATGTGTATGCTAACATGGTTTCATCAACTATGTAACTTCATATATTTATATATATATTATTTAATTTATAGATATTAAATAATTGGATCTTGGACCAAATTGCCTATAAACAACCTCACCTGTTTTTCTTTTTGATGGCCTCATAAACTACTAGTGCAAGGTGCTGGAAAAAAAATGTAGATTGAAGCAGTAAAGTGCAAGACAAACAAAATGAAAAACCTAACCAAAGTTTAAATATTCTCCGAAGATACATAAATAACTGTAGTTTCTTATGTGTCTTAAAAGCAAACTAAGTAGGTCTTATCACACATATGAAACTTTCTTAAGTTATAGTATTAAGTATTGTAGCTATTGCCACCCAAAATACTTTTGTTAAAATGGGGTCAGAGAGTAGGTTTGATAGATTTCAAAGATTAAAATATAGCACTTGGGACATACTTATACTAAAAAACATTCATTGCACATGTGAAATTCAAATTGAACCAGGCATTCTGTATTTTATCCTAGAGTCAGAATACATGTAATTTAAACTTTAAAGATCGGTATATAGAGTGTTTATGAACCCTACCAATTATTAGAAGCTTGAGAAAAAAGGGTCCAGTAGGCTGTCTTTAAAATAGCTCTATATCTTGGTCTTTTAGTGAAGGATATCCTCTCCATATTTCTAAAGTACAAATCAAAAATTATGAACAAAATTAGTATGATAAAGTCCTGCACTTATTTATGCTTCTTTAAAAGAGAGCTCAACACACTAGATTAAAAGATAGGTTTTGAAACTCCTTTCCATAAATTCGTCTCAATCAGAGTAGGTCTTTCTGGACATTAAATTAAATGCCGTCAATTCCATGGCAGCCAACTTGTCATCCTGAGACAGTCAACATAAAACTTTACCTATACAGAAATATCGCTGAAAGCAGTATTGTAGATCATGTGACAATATAGATCACTGAGGAAGAAACAAATGCATCATTGGAGGAAAAAGTGCAGGAGAGAAAGGACAGCAGCAGAGAAAAATCTTGATTTTGTCAATAAAAACAACTGCCTTGAATGTCATGTTTTCCATTGAAGCTGAAATTAGAACTAGGCTGGATGTCAACTGTGTTGCAAACACAATTTTCTGAGCTTGTGACACAGAGCAGGTTGTGTAGCTCTATTTTTCACTAGTGATCTATCATTTAGCCAGCGCAACTCCAAGCCAAAATTTTCATTATTGTGTGCCAGCCCTTCCAGTGGAGACACCACCTTGTTTAAAACACAAAAGAGCCACGTTTGGGCTGCGTGTCAGGCAGCTGTTCCATGAAGAGAGGGTCTCATGCTGATAACCAACACAAAGCCTTTTTCGAGCCTTTGCAGGTGCTCATGTTCTGGCAGAAAGAAAATTCTTATTTTTAATTTGTGCAATAATGGGCTTAATGTTCACCTGGCAAAGCCCTACAAAGTTTTACACATTGACCATAAAAGGCAAGAACCATGTCTTCACAACTCAATTACTTTTGCATTCTCACCATTGTTAGTGGCATTCATATAATATATAGGATATTCTGCAGTTGTTTCCAGGCTATTTCCCTTTTAGAATCAGTGGAACATGTCTGACAGCAAAACAAAACATGAATCATGATAACCACTTTGTGCAACGATTGGTATTGTAATATCAGTAGCCAAACATATATGATACTGTACTAGGAAAATTTTCATTTATTCACGTTTATGCAAGTATTCATGTGAAAAAAATCGAGCTGTCTTCCATAAAGGCAAATGTAATGAAGGAAGCATTTGAAAGTCAGGCTCTTTCTTATCTTCCCTCAATTAACAACTCATGATATTACAGACTTAAACACTTCTTTACAGAATGTTAGTCTAGTCTATTTTCCTCTATCTTTTTTTGTCAACTTGCATATGGGAGATATTTTACTCCATTACAACTATCACATTTTTAAAAATTGCACGTGGGTGTATTTTGTACTAAAGAATATTATGTTGTTGGGAGTGAGTGTATTTACTTATAACGACAGTGTTGTTATAATTTCACTGTCTAAACAAAATCTGTATATAAATCTAAAGGTGTGCCAAATCAACAAAAAGGAAAGTCCATTTGTCTACCAACTAGAGAAAGCAGGTAACAAAATAAGTTAAAGCAGTATTTTCCCAGCGTAGATTCCCTTCACACATCTGGTACTCTCTGTATGATCCCTAACCAGAGATTTTGTCCATTTTTTAATTTATATTATTTTTATTTGACAAATCATAATTGTATTACACTTAGGGGTATGATGTGATGTTTTACTAAATGTATACAATGTTTAATACTTGTATACAATTAAATCAAGCTAATTAACATATTCATCACCTCACTTGACATTTTTTGTGGTAATATATTTGAAACTTACTTAATTATTTTAAAATATACAACACATTATTATTGACCATAGCTACCCTGCTGTGCAAGAAACATTGCCAATTTCTGCCCCAATATTTCTATCAGGTGAAAAGAAATATTCTGCATGGTTCAAAGACATCTAATAAGACAAAGTGCACAGGAGTGCTGACAGAAGTTCACAGAATGACCAACTTGCTCCGTTCATGTCCTGCAATGAGAACTGGTTAATTTGTCTGGTAAGGACAGAAACTCGGGATAGAATACTACAGGGGAGAAATGCTCAGAAAAGGCCTTTTTTCTGAGTATAGAAAATAATTTAAGCTGCACATTATTTGGATTCATACAAAATTATCATTGGATATAATTATTACTGTAAAAACCAGTGCTGACTTTCAGTTACTTGTTTTACCCCTCTGGACTACCAAATCTTTACTAAAATATATTTTATGCAAAAATCTACAAGGTTAAAGAGAATGGGAGACGACTGGGCAGGAACGAAATTTTGAAAGCTGGAAAGCAGAAAGAAGAATTGAATTTGAGTTTGCATGCCTGAGAAAACTGGACCTAAGCAGCAGAGAGAAGGCACAGAAGCAAGCTGTTTCCTTGCACTGCATGGTCCTAAAGCAGTTGAGGAATAGGCTGCACTAGTTATCTCTGAATGAGAGGCAAAAGGTTGCAGGGGGTGAGGGGAAAGAGAAGACTGAAAACTGGAGGAATGATTGAAATCTATGTAAGAAGTTAGACCCCAGATCCCCTCCACTGCCGCATTCATCCATTCTAGCAGAACACTAAAGATTTATCCTTAGGAGGGATTGAGCTGCAGAGTCTGGACTAAGAAAACCAGGAAAGGCTGAGGGATCCGAGGAACGTAATGAAAATGCAAATCAAACTTCTGGATAACATGAAAACTGAAAAGACAGTGGGAGGATGCTTTTAAAAATCTGAGTGGCAATGCTTTCTAATCTGGAATTCTACCCAACCAAACTGTCATTTCAGGCTTGATCTCAGGAAATTTACCTCCCACACACAAGTTCTCAGGAAGCTAATTAAAAAGGTAACCTACGAAAATAAGAAGGAGGGGTCCAGAAAACTAGAAACCCAATACCTGTTAGAAGTAAAAAATTCTAAGGATGACGGGAAAAGGAATTTTAGGAGAACAGCTATGCAGGAGACCAAAGAGCAATCAGCTCAGATTGGAGCAAGAGGACACACATCTCCAAAGAGGTGACTCTGCCAAGACGAATTTAACGTTTGAATGGACTGAAAGGAGATTTATCCTTCCATGGGGTAGAAACATAGAGAACCAAGCAAATGAGAAGGAGAGAGAGATTAGTAAGACTTAGAAAACAATCCTTCTTATTAGGAAAAAATCTAATTATAGAGTATAATACCATCAGTGTATTATATTTATATAATCATGGAAATATAATCCTTGAATATTTAATGTCACCAAAAATTATGAGGAAAGTTATATGTCAGGGAGACAATGGGTAAGATTGCTCAATCCTCATTTTCCAAAGTAAAATAAAAATCAATACATATCCTAAATGAAGAAAGCAATATGGGAATATTATTTAGAAATATGAACATTAAAAACAAAATAAACAACTATAATAATTGAAAATGGCTGCCAAAGGGAAGCAAGAATGGTGCGGTGCAGGAGACAGATAGGCAGGGGAACATTTTTCATAACAAGCTATGTAGAACTATTCACCTTTAAACTATGCATATAGAAAACTATGATAAAGGTAAATATACAATTTTTAAAAGAACAATTAACTACTTAACAGAGCTTATTTAATTACCAATAGCCCACATTCGCTGCTTACTAGGAGTCCTTCTAGAAATCCTAGTACTCTGCTCGCAGTAAGAGCCTTAGTGAGGTTTTTATTTTTATTTTTTATTTTTTTTTTGTGATTCAGGAGGTATATGTGCAGGTTTGTTACACAGGTATATTGTGTGATGCTAGAGTTTAGGCTTCTAATGATCAAGTAGCCCAAGTAACTAACATAGTACTTGATAGGTAGTTTTTAGACCCTTGGCCCCTTCTCTCCCTGTCCCCCTTTGAAATCCTCAATGTCTATTGCTTCCATCTTTGTGTCCATGTGTACTCAATATTTAGTTCCCACTCAGAAGTAAGAACATTCTGTATTTGGTTTTCTGTTTCTGTGTTAATTCACTTAGGATAATGGCCTCCAGCTGCATCCATGCTGCTGCAAAGGACAGGATTTTGTTATTTCTACAACTGCATAGTATTCCGTGGTATATATGTACCACACTGTCTTTATCCAATCCACCATTGATGGGCACCTGGATTGATTCCAAGTTTTTGCTATGGTGAATAGTGCTGAGATAAACATGAGTGCAGGTGTCTTTATGGTAGAATGATTTATTTTCCCTCAGGAATGTACCCAGTAATGACATTGCTGGGTTGAATGTTAATTCTATTTTTAGTTTTTTGAGAAATCCTTCATGAGATTTGAAATTATGAATATTTTATTTAACAAGAGCAAGGCATGGTAGTGTGCACCTATAGTTCAGCTACTCAGGAGGATAAGGTGGGGGTGTCCCTTGAACCCAGGAGTTTGAGTCAGCCTGGGCAATATAGCAAGACCCTATCTTTAAAAATATTAAAAGAGAGAGATGGAGAGAGGATAACAGTTCTCACCTACAAGAGAGGGCAAAAACCTGAGGGTAGGGATGTAACACTCACTTAATGAACAAAATTTCCTATTTCTCAATATATGTACATTGCTTGAGTATCTCCCAGACTAGATTGTGACTTTTATGAGGAATAGAGCTGTGTCTATGTCATTTCTTACTTTATCTTCAGCACCAAATACAGCATGGCACAAAAACATCATCACAAATTAAATTAATTAATTGACACATATTGGTTTAATACAGAATAGGGGATATCAAATAAAATAGTCATTTCACTAGATAAAGAGTGATGAAGTTATTACAGCTACATTAAGTGATACAGCTCACTATTTGGCATCACCAAGTAAATGTGGATGTAATTATTACAGTCTAAGAAGCCCTGCTTAGGAATATATTAGTCAGACAAATCTCACATGATCTCACTCATATGTGGAAACTAAAATGTCAATCTTGTGGGGCAGTGGCTCTCATTTGTGATCTCAGCTGTGTTCCTGAGGCCAGGAGTTCAAGACCAGCCTCGGTAACATAGCAAGACCCCTGGCTTTTGGTAGAGCAGCTGTGCTCTGTTGGGGATCCTTTTAGCCCCTGATCAGTTTGGGCTCGCCAAGGCCCACAGGCCAGACTGACTGAGATGCTGGAACAGCAAAGGTCAACAATACCTTATTAAGCATATGCTCTTTTTTAACCTTCTAATTTATAAGAACGTTTTAAATTAAAAAATTAATTATTTTAATGGGCAAGTAATTGTATGTATTCATGCGGAACTGTTAAAAGAAAAACAGAAAACAACAAAAACAAAAAACTCACAAAAACCCCATCCAAAGGTCAGCACCCTCAAAGATTGAAGGCAGATAAGCCCACAAAGATGAGGAAAAAAAATCAACAGAAAAACACTGAAAACTCAAAAAGCCAGAGTTCCCCTTTTCCACCAAATGACTGCAACACTCCAGCAAGGGCTCAAGCCTGGGCCGAGGCTGAGATGGCTGAAATGAAAGAAGTAAGCTTCAGAATATGGATAAAAACAAACTTCACTCAGCTAAAGGAACATGTTGTCACCCAATGCAAAGGAGCTAAGAATCATGATAAAAGAAGTCAGGAGCTGACAGACAAAATAGTCATTTTAGAGAGGAACAAGGCCAACCTGATAGAGCTGAAAAACACACTACAAGAACTTCACAATGCAATCACAAGTATTAATAGCAGACTAGACAGGGTGGAGGAAAGAATCTCAGACCTGGAAGACTATTTTTCTGAAATAAGACAGGCAGGCAAGAATAGAGAAAAAAGAATGAAAAAGAATGAACAAAACCTCTGAGAAATATGGGATTATGTAAAGACACCAAATTTATGACTGATTGGGGTACCTGAAAGAGACAGGAGAAGGAAACCAACTGGGAAAACATACTTCAGGATATCATCCAGGAGAGCTTCCCCAATCTAGCAAGACAGGCCAACATTCAAACTCAGGAAATCCAGAAAACTCCAGTAAGATACTGCATGAGAAAATTATCCCCAGGACACATAATCATCAGATTCTCCAAGGTCAAAATGAAAGAAAAAATGTTAAGGTCAGCCAGAGAGAAAGGCCATTGGACTAACATCAGACCTCTCAGCAGAAACCCTATAAGCCAGAAGAGATAGAGAGCCAATATTCAACATTCTTTAAGAAAAGAATTTCCAACCCAGTTTCATATCCAGCCAAACTAGGCTTTACAAGTGAAGGAAAAATAAGATTCCTTTCAGACAAGCAAATGCTGAGGGAATTCATCACGACCATGCCTGCCTTGCAAAAGCTCTTGAAGAAAGCACTAAATATGGAAAGGAAAAACTGTTACCAGCCACTGCAAAAACACACTAAAGAGCAAAGACTAATGACACTATGAAGGAAGTAAATCAACAAGCCTGCAAAATAACCAGCTAGCATCATGATGACAGGATCAAATTATCACATGACAATACTAACCTTTAATGTAAATGGGCTAAATGCCCCCAATTAAATGGCAAGCTGGATAAAGAACTAACACTCATTGATATGCTGTCTTCAAGACACCAATTTCACGTGCAAAGGCATACATAGACTCAAAATAAAGGGATGGAGGAAAATTTACCAAGCAAATTGAAAACAGAAAAAAGCAGGGGTTCTCATCCTACTTTCTGACAAAACAAACTTTAAACCAACAAAGATCAAAAAAGACAAAGAAGGGCATTACATAATGGTAAAGGGTTTGATTCAACAAGAAAAGCTAACTATCCCAAATATATATGCACTCAATACAAGAGCACCCAGATTTATAAAGCAAATTCTTAGAGATCTTCAAAGAGACTTAGACACCCACACAATGATAGTGAGAAATTTTAACACCACACTGACAATATTAGACAGTTCATCAAGAAAGAAAATTAACAAAGATATTCAGGACCTAAATCCAGCCCTTCATCAAGTGGACCTGATAGATATCTACAGAACTCTCTACCCAAAAACAACAGAATGTACATTCTTCTAATCATCACATGGCACCTACACTAAAATTGATAACATAATGGGAAGTAAAACACTCCTCAGGAAATGCAAAAGAACTGAAATAACAAACAGCCTCTCAGACCACAGCACAATCAAATTAGAACTTAAGATTAAGAAATTCACTCAAAAATATACAACTACATGGAAATTGAATAAAAAGAAATTCACAAGGAAAAAAAACAAACAACCCCATTAAAAAGTGGGCAAAAGACATGAACAGACACTTCTCAAAAGAAGACATACACAGAGCCAAAAGACATATAAAAAAAAGCTCAGCATCACTGATCATTAGAGAAATGCAAATTAAAACTACAATGAGATACCATCTAACAACAGTCAGAATGGCAATGAATAAAAAGTCAAAAAATAACAGATGTTGGTGATGTTGTGGAGAAAAATGAACACTTATACACTGTTGGTGGGTTGTAAATTAGTTCAACCCTTGTGCAAGACAGTTTGGTGATTCCTTAAAGACCTAAAAACAGAAATACCATTTGGCCCAGGAATTCCATTACTGGATATATACCCAAAGGAATATAAATTCTTATATTATAAAGATACATGCATGTGTATGTTCATTGCAGCACTGTTTACTATAAAAAAGACATGGAATCAACCTAAATGCCCATCGATGTTAGACTGGGTAAAGAAAATGTGGTACATATTCACATTGGTATACTATGCAAACATAAAAAGGAACAAGATAATGTCCTTTGCAGGGACATGGATAGAGCTGGAGGCCATTATCCTTAGCAAACTAATGCAGGAAAAGAAAACCAAATACTATGTGTTCTCACTCATAAATGGAAGAAGAAAGATGAGAACATATGGGCAAATGAGGGGAGAACAATACATCCTGGGGCCTGTCAGAGTGTAGGGTGTGGGAGGAGGGAGAGCATTAAGAAGAATAGCTAATGGATGCTGGGCTTAATTCCTGGGTAATGGGATGATCTGTGCAGCAAACCACCATAGTGCACGTTTACCTATGTAACAAATCTCTACATCCTTCACATGTATCCCTGAACTTAAAATAAAAGCTGGAAATGAAAAAAAATCTATTTTAAAATGAGCAAAAGACCTGAATAGATATTTCTGAAAAGAAGACACAAAAATACGTTAGGAAATCAAACAACGCAAAAGTCAGAAAAGAAATAAACTAATTTTAGAAAAGGCAAAAGACTTGAATAGACATTTATCAAAAGAAGACATCCTAATGGCCAGAAGGTATATGAAAAACTGCTCAACACCACTAATTATCAGAGAAACGAAAATGAAAACCACAAAAGGATATCACCTCAAACCTGTTAGAACGGTTATTATCAAAAAGACAAAACATGTTAAGTATTGTTGAGGATGTGGAGAAGAGGTAATGCTTTTACTTTGTTGGTGGTAAGGTAAATTTGTATAGCCATTATGAAAAGTGGTTGGGAGGTTTCTCAAAAACTTAAAAATAGAACTACCCATGATCCAGCAATTCCACTTCTGGGTATATGCCCAAAAGAAACAAAATCAGTATCTTGAAGAGACATCTGCACTCCCATGTTTATTACAGCATTGTTGACAATAACCAAGATATAGATTTATCCTAAATGTCTATCAACAAATCAATGGATTTAAAAAAAATGTGGTATATGAATGCAATGACATATCATTCAGCCTTAAAAAAAGGAATAATCCTGTCATTTTTTCAAACATGGATTAATTTGGATAACATTATGCTAGGTGAAATAAGCCAGACACAAAAGACAAGTGCTGCATAATCTCTCTTATGTATGGAATCTAAAAACCTAGAACTATGACACAGAGTAGAATGGTAGTTGAGTATATTTAACAATACTGTACTGATGGTGAATACAGTTAATAATACTATATTGTATACTTGAAATTTTCTGAGAGTCAATCTTAAAGGTTCTCACCACACACACGTACACAAATGGTAATTATGTGAAGTCATAGACATGTAAATTAGCTTGAATGTGGCAATCATTTCACAATGTATGTATATCAAAATATTATGTTATATACATTAAGTACATATAATTTTTGTCAATTATATGTCAATAAAGCTAGAAAAAAACTAACCAAAAAGGATATATTGTTAATCTCAAGTAAAAGTTAATTTTTTACAGATTACTCATTTTATTGATACATAATAATTCTACATATTTGTGGGGATCATGTGATATTTTGCTACATGCATAAACTGATGAAATAAGGGTAACTGAAATAGCCATCACCTCAAACAATTATTATTTGTTTGTGCTTGGATTATTCCAGAGCTTCTTTTCCAACTATTTTGAAATATACAACTGTAGTCACCCTACTGTGCGATCAAACATTAGAACTTACTCTTTCTATCTAACTGTATGTTTGTACCCATTAACCAACTTCTCTTCATACCCCCCCAGCCTACCCCCCACACACTTTTCCCAGCCTCTGGTAGCCAGCATTTTACCCTCCACCTCCATGAAATTACCTACTTTAGCTCCCACATAGGTGTGAGAATGTGCAATATTAGTCTTTCTGTGCCTGGCTTATTTCACTTAACATAATGACCTCTAGTTCCTTCCATGTCACTGCAAATAACAGGACAGTAAAAGTCAATTGTGAGATATTTGCTGGAAGTATGACAACAGTATTCTACTTTATGGTCAGTTTTATGTAATCAACAAGTCTTAAATTCGATATAGTAACATTGTTTCTCTCATCAGTTGTTTAGATCTCCTTTGTATAAGTTTAAGGAAATACATTTTTAAATGTTTTGTGATAGAAACAAAAAGAGTTTTTCACATTTGTGTCTCAGTGAAAATCATGCTAATTCAGTATATACACTTGCATCTGTTCTATTTGACAATGAAGGTATATTTCAGAGGTTATCCGTACAAAAAAAGAAGAAAAAAAACCCGAATAACTGCTTTTGAGGGAGGATCCAGAATTATATGCCTCTATTTAGGGAAGCAATTGAAACAATTATTTCTTTAATCTGAGGACTAACGTCTACTGGCTGTGGCATTTTTAGCTCCTTTCCTTCAAACCTAACCAAAAACATTGATGATATTTAAATATAAGAATGCATACAATGACACTACATTAACAGCCTTGATGTTGATTGTGCTTTTTTTAAAGCAAACTTTTAATTGAAGTAAAACACACGTTTTTAAGATGCACAAATTATAAATGTATAGACGAAATTTTTACAAAAGAAGCACATCCTGCACCTAAATCAAGAGAGATAATGTTACTAGTACACCAGTAGCCACCACATAACTTCTTCCAGTCACCCCCACTACCCTCTTTCCAGGAAAGAATCATTCTGAATTCTAACGTCAGAGGTTAGTTGAGCCTGTTTATGAAGTTTTATCTTTATATAAATGGAATAACAAGGTGTACTTTTGTATGTGTCTGCCTTCTTTCATCATAATGCTTGTGAGATTTATCAGCATTCTTTCATGGAATTATAATTTGTTGTAAAATGTTGCACCTTCGTTATTACTTACCTTAAAATATCTCCTACTTTCCACCATTTCTTTTTTGAGTTCTTGTTTATTTATTAGTATGTGGCTTAAATTTCAAGCAGTTTGGGATTTTCTAGTTTATTTTTTTGTACTGATATCTAGGTTATTTCCACCAAAATAAAATTACATATTTCTAATTCTTTCAGTATTTTGAAATTTGTTGATATTTGCTTTGACTCACCATATGGTCAAGTGGTCAACTTTTTGGTTTTTTTGAGACAGAGTCTCACTCTGTCCCCCAAGCTGGAGTGCAAGCTCCACCTCCCGGGTTCACACCATTCTCCTGCCTCAGACTCTTTTGTAAATGTAATATTTTTGTTTGAAAAGGAATTTTCTTCTGTTCTTATTGATACAGTTTTCTATGTATGTCAAAAAAGTCAATTTTGCTCATTGGTTTTTCAGGTTTTTTATAACTTTATTGATTTTATTTTTGCTTGTCTTAAGTATTTAGAGAGTTGCTTTAGTCTCTTAATATAATTGTGGATTTTTCTGTTTTTCCCTTTATTTCTATCAGTGTGTGCTATGATGTTGACCATATAGAGATTTAGAGCCTTATGCTTTTCAACTTATTTGGTCCTTTTGCCAATAGTAAATGTCCCATTTCATCTGTAAAAATGCATTTCTATTAATGTTTATCTTATATTAATAAAGCTACTCCATTGTTGTCAATGACTGCAAAGTACATGTATTTCCTTTATTTTATTTTTAAGTTAATCTGTCCCTTATATTTATGGTTTTTCAAATATAAGAAGCATATAGTCAGAGGAGGAGCCAAGATGGCCGAATAGGAACAGCTCCGGTCTACAGCTCCCAGCATGAGCGACGCAGAAGATGGGTGATTTCTGCATTTCCATCTGAGGTACTGGGTTCATCTCACTAGGGAGTGCCAGACAGTGGGCGCAGGTCAGTGGGTGCGTGCACCGTGCACGAGCCGAAGCAGGGTGAGGCATTGCCTCACTCGGGAAGCGCAAGGGGTCAGGGAGTTCCCTTTCCTAGTCAAAGAAAGGGGTGACGGACGGTACCTGGAAAATCGGGTCACTCCCACCCAAATACTGCGCTTTTCCGATGGACTTAAAAAACGGCGCACCACGAGATTATATCCTGCACCGGGCTCGGAGGGTCCTACGCCCACGGAGTCTCACTGATTGCTAGCACAGCAGTCTGAGATCAAACTGCAAGGCTGCAGCGAGGCTGGGGGAGGGGCGCCCGCCATTGCCCAAGCTTGCATAGGTAAACAAAGCAGCCAGGAAGCTCGAACTGGGTGGAGCCCAACACAGCTCAAGGAGGCCTGCCTGCCTCTGTAGGCTCCACCTCTGGGGGCAGGGCACAGACAAACAAAAAGACAGCAGTAACCTCTGCAGACTTAAATGTCCCTGTCTGACAGTTTTGAAGAGAGCAGTGGTTCTCCCAGTACACAGCTGGAGATCTGAGAATGGGCAGACTGCCTCCTCAACTGGGTCCCTGACCCCTGACCCCTAACCCCCGAGCAGCCTAACTGGGAGGCACCCTGCAGCAGGGGCACACTGACACCTCACACGGCAGGGTACTCCAACAGACCTGCAGCTGAGGGTCCTGTCTGTTAGAAGGAAAATTAACAAACAGAAAGGACATCCACACCAAAAACCCATCTGTACATCACCATCATCAAAGACCAAAAGTAGACAAAACCACAAAGATGGGGAAAAAACAGAACAGAAAAACTGGAAACTCTAAAAAGCAGAGCACCTCTCCTCCTCCAAAAGAATGCAGTTCCTCACCAGCAACGGAACAAAGCTGGACGGAGAACGACTATGACGAGCTGAGAGAAGAAGGCTTCAGACAACCAAATTACTCTGAGCTACGGGAGGATAGTCAAACCAAAGGCAAAGAAATTGAAAACTTTGAAAAAAATTTAGAAGAATGTATAACTAGAATAACCAATACAGAGAAGTGCTTAAAGGAGCCGATGGAGCTGAAAACCAAGGCTCGAGAACTACGTGAAGAATGCAGAAGCCTCAGGAGCCGATGTGATCAACTGGAAGAAAGGGTATCAGCAATGGAAGATGAAATGAATGAAATGAAGTGAGAAGGGAAGTTTAGAGAAAAAAGAATAAAAAGAAATGAGCAAAGCCTCCAAGAAATATGGGACTATGTAAAAACACCAAATTTACGTCTGATTGGTGTACCTGAAAGTGACGGGGAGAATGGAATCAAGTTGGAAAACACTCTGCAGGATATTATCCAGGAGAACTTCCCCAATCTAGCAAGGCAGGCCAACGTTCAGATTCAGGAAATACAGAGAACACCACAAAGATACTCCTCGAGAAGAGCAACCCCAAGACACATAATTGTCAGATTCACCAAAGTTGAAATGAAGGAAAAAATGTTAAGGGCAGCCAGAGAGAAAGGTCGGGTTACCCTCAAAGGGAAGCCCATCAGACTAACAGCGGATCTCTTGGCAGAAACCCTACAAGCCAGAAGAGAGTGGGGGCTAATATTCAACATTCTTAAAGAAAAGAATTTTCAACCCAGAATTTCATATCCAGCCAAACTAAGCTTCATAAGTGAAGGAGAAATAAAATACTTTATAGACAAGCAAATGCTGAGAGATTTTGTCACCACCAGGCCTGCCCTAAAAGAGCTCCTGAAGGAAGCGCTAAACATGGAAAGGAACAACCGGTACCAGCTGCCGCAAAATCATGCCAAAATGTAAAGACCATCGAGACTAGGAAGAAACTGCATCAACTAATGAGCAAAATCACCAGCTAACATCATAATGACAGGATCAAATTCACACATAACAATATTAACTTTAAATGTAAATGGACTAAATGCTCCAATTAAAAGACACAGACTGGCAAATTGGATAAAGAGTCAAGACCCATCAGTGTGCTGTATTCAGGAAACCCATCTCACATGCAGAGATACATAGGCTCAAAATAAAAGGACGGAGGAAGATCTACCAAGCCAATGGAAAACAAAAACAGGCAGGGGTTGCAATCCTAGTCTCTGATAAAACAGACTTTAAACCAACAAAGATCAAAAGAGACAAAGAAGGCCATTACATAATGATAAAGGGACCAATTCAACAAGAAGAGCTAACTATCCTAAATATATATGCACCCAATACAGGAGCACCCAGATTCATAAAGCAAGTCCTGAGTGACCTACAAAGAGACTTAGACTCCCACACATTAACAATGGGAGACTTTAACACCCCACTGTCAACATTAGACAGATCAATGAGACAGAAAGTCAACAAGGATACCCAGGAACTGAATTCAGCTCTGCACCAAGTGGACCTAATAGACATCTACAGAACTCTCCACCCCAAATCAACAGAATATATATTTTTTTCAGCACCACACCACACCTATTCCAAAATTGACCACATACTTGGAAGTAAAGCTCTCCTCAGCAAATGTAAAAGAAGAGAAATTATAACAAACTAGCTCTCAGACCACAGTGCAATCAAACTAGAACTCAGGATTAAGAATCTCACTCAAAACTGCTCAACTACATGGAAACTGAACAACCTGCTCCTGAATGACTACTGGGTACATAACGAAATGAAGGCAGAAATAAAGATGTTCTTTGAAACCAACGAGAACAAAGACACAACATACCAGAAGCTCTGGGACACACTCAAAGCAGTGTGTAGAGGGAAATTTATAGCACTAAATGCCCACAAGAGAAAGCAGGAAAGATCCAAAATTGACACCCTAACATCACAATTAAAAGAACTGGAAAAGCAAGAGCAAACACATTCAAAAGCTAGCAGAAGGCAAGAAATAACTAAAATCAGAGCAGAACTGAAGGAAATAGAGACACAAAAAACCCTTCAAAAAATTAATGAATCCAGGAGCTGGTTTTTTGAAAGGATCAACAAAATTGATAGACCGCTAGCAAGACTAATAAACAAAAAAAGAGAGAAGAATCAAATAGATGCAATAAAAAATGATAAAGGGGATATCACCACCGATCCCACAGAAATACAAACTACCATCAGAGAATACTACAAACACCTCTATGCAAATAAACTAGAAAATCTAGAAGAAATGGATAAATTCCTCGACACATACACTCTCCCAAGACTAAACCAGGAAGAAGTTGAATCTCTGAATAGACCAATAACAGTATCTGAAATTGTGGCAATAATCAATAGCTTACCAACCAAAAAGAGTCCAGGACCAGATGGATTCACAGCCAAATTCTACCAGAGGTACAAGGAGGAACTGGTACCATTCCTTCTGAAACTATTCCAATCAACAGAAAAAGAGGGAATCCTCCCTAACTCATTTTATGAGGCCAGCGTCATTCTGATACCAAAGCCTGGCAGAGACACAACCAAAAAAGAGAATTTTAGATCAATATCCTTGATGAACATTGATGCAAAAATCCTCAATAAAATACTGGCAAACCGAATCCAGCAGCACATCAAAAAGCTTATCCACCATGATCAAGTGGGCTTCATCCCTGGGATGCAGGGCTGGTTCAATATATGCAAATCAATAAATGTAATCCAGCATATAAACAGAACCAAAGACAAAAACCACATGATTATCTCAATAGATGCAGAAAAGGCGTTTGACAAAATTCAACAACCCTTCATGCTAAAAACTCCCAATAAATTAGGTATTGATGGGATGTATTTCAAAATAATAAGAGCTATCTATGACAAACCCACAGCCAATATCATACTGAATGGGCAAAAACTGGAAGCATTACCTTTGAAAACTGGCACAAGACAGGGATGCCCTCTCTCACCACTCCTATTCAACATAGTGTTGGAAGTTCTGGCCAGGGCAATTAGGCAGGAGAAGGAAATAAAGGGTATTCAATTAGGAAAAGAGGAAGTCAAATTGTCCCTCTTTGCAGATGACATGATTGTATATCTAGAAAACCCCATTGTCTCAGCCCAAAATCTCCTTAAGCTGATAAGCAACTTCAGCAAAGTCTCAGGATACAAAATCAATGTACAAAAATCACAAGCATTCTTATACACCAACAACAGACAAACAGAGAGCCAAATCATGAGTGAACTCCCATTCACAATCGCTTCAAAGAGAATAAAATACCTAGGAATCCAACTTACAAGGGATGTGAAGGACCTCTTCAAGGAGAACTACAAACCACTGCTAAGGAAATAAAAGAGGATACAAACAAATGGAAGAACATTCCATGCTCATGGGTAGGAAGAATCAATATCGTGAAAATGGCCATACTGCCCAAGGTAATTTACAGATTCAATGCCATCCCCATCAAGCTACCAATGCCTTTCTTCACAGAATTGGAAAAAACTACTTTAAAGTTCATATGGAACCAAAAAAGAGCCCGCATCGCCAAGGCAATCCTAAGCCAAAAGAACAAAGCTGGAGGCATCACGCTACCTGACTTCAAACTATACTACAAGGCTACAGTAACCAAAACAGCATGGTACTGGTACCAAAACAGAGATATAGATCAATGGAACAGAACAGAGCCCTCAGAGATAACACCGCATATCTACAACTATCTGATCTTTGACAAACCTGAGAAAAACAAGCAATGGGGAAAGGATTCCCTATTTAATAAATGGTGCTGGGAAAACTGGCTAGCCATATGTAGAAAGCTGAAACTGGATCCCTTCCTTACACCTTATACAAAAATTAATTCAAGATGGATTAAAGACTTAAACGTTAGACCTAAAACCATAAAAACCCTAGAAGAAAACCTAGACATTACCATTCAGGACATAGGCATGGGCAAGGACTTCATGTCTAAAACACCAAAAGCAATGGCAACAAAAGACAAAATTGACAAATGGGATCTAATTAAACTAAAGAGCCTCTGCACAGCAAAAGAAACTACCATCAGAGTGAACAGGCAACCTACAAAATGGGAGAAAATTTTTGCAACCTACTCATCTGACAAAGGGCTAATATCCAGAATCTACAATGAACTCAAACAAATTTACAAGAAAAAAACAAACAACCCCATCAAAAAGTGGGCAAAGGACATGAACAGACACTTCTCAAAAGAAGACATTTATGCAGCCAAAAAACACATGAAAAAATGCTCGTCATCACTGGCCATCAGAGAAATGCAAATCAAAACCACAATGAGATATCATCTCACACCAGTTAGAATGGCGATCATTCAAAAGTCAGGAAACAACAGGTGCTGGAGAGGATGTGGAGAAATAGGAACACTTTTACACTGTTGGTGGGACTGTAAACTAGTTCAACCATTGTGGAAGTCAGTGTGGCGATTCCTCAGGGATCTAGAACTAGAAATACCATTTGACCCAGCCATCCCATTACTGGGTATATACCCAAAGGACTATAAATCATGCTGCTATAAAGACACATGCACACGTATGTTTATTGCGGCACTATTCACAATAGCAAAGACTTGGAACCAACCCAAATGTCCAACAATGATAGACTGGATTAAGAAAATGTGGCACATATACACCATGGAATACTATGCAGCCATAAAAAATGATGAGTTCATGTCCTTTGTAGGGACATGGATGAAATTGGAAATCATCATTCTCAGTAAACTATCACAAGAACAAAAAACCAAACACCGCATATTCTCACTCATAGTTGGGAATTGAACAATGAGATCACATGGACACAGGAAGGGGAACATCACACTCTGGGGACTGTTGTGGGGTGGGGGTAGGGGGGAGGGATAGCACTGGGAGATATACCTAATGCTAGATGACAAGTTAGTGGGTGCAGCGCACCAGTGTGGCACATGTATACATATGTGACTAACCTGCACAATGTGCACATGTACCCTAAAACTTAAACTATAATAATAAAAGAAAAAAAAATAAGAAGCATATAGTCATTAAATTTTATTTTTCAACTAAGTTTGATAGTCTCAGTTTTTTACTTGAAGCATTGAATCCATTTACATGTAATGAAATTACTATATGAAATTACTATATAGGTAATGAAATTACATGTAATTAAATTACTACTACTATATATAGTAGTTTATATATATTATCTTATTTGTTTCCATTTAATCCAACTGTTTTATATACCACTTTCTTCTCTTTTCTCACCACCTTTTGGATCAATCGAATATTTCAATTATTATATCTTCTTCAGCTCATTATTTTAACATTATTTTTAAATTATTTGAGTGATTACACTATAAAATATGTCAGGTATCACTGACTGATTTCAGGCTATTACAAATGTTTTTCTACATTTTTCCTGATAATGTTATCTTAAAACACTTTAAATTTGCCCCTCCCATTTTTTTGTTACCACTCTTATGCATTTTAATTGTACATCATTTTTAAATCCTAAAGATTATTTTATATAATCAATATTAAATTATATTATCCATCCATTCTTTTTTTTCTGTGTTCAAAATTTAGCAAATACCCTTCATTTCCATGTTTCTGTCTGGGATCACTTGCTTTCTGCATAAAGAAATTCTGTTAATTTTTAATCTTAAGGCATGCTGCTTATGGCATTCTCTCAAGTTTGATTTTTCTAAAAAATATTTTTTAACTATATTTTTCTTGGGATAGAATTCTAAGTTGGAAGTGTGTTTGTTTGTTTGTTTGTTTCAGCACTTTAAAGTTGTCACTCCATTCTCCCCTGTTCCTGTTGATATTGTTGCACCTTTGAAGGTCGAGTGCCTTTTTTCTCAAGCTGCTTTTCTTCCTCTCTTTGGTTTTTGGCAGTTTTATTTCTACGTGTCTAGTTAATTTCTGTGACCTGTTTGGGGTTCACAACTCTTCTTGAATCTGTGAGTTAATGTTTTTCATCAATTTGTGGGGGAGGAAATTGTCTCTTTTGATGTTGCTTCTGTTTCTTTTCTCTCTTCTCTTTTCAGCATTCCAAATGAATACATGTGTTTTAGAACTTTCAATTGTGGTCCATATGCACCTAATGATTATTTGTGTACTTCACTTCTTTTTCTGTTTGTTTTAGCTTATGTATTTTCTTAGCTTATAGGTAGCTCCTCAATCCTATCTTCTACTCTTCTAATCTGCTACCAAATTCATCTGAGTTATTAATTCTCCTCATTGTACTTTTCAGTTTGACAATTTCCAGTTGATTCTTTTCGTAGAGCTTAATTATCTAAGCAGGTTTTTTAATCTTTTCTTCTGTTTTATCTCTTTTCATCCATTTCTTCAACCTGTGAGTCAGTTACTGTACAGTCATTTATTAATTATAATATCTGGGTCATGTTTGGATCTATTTTCATTTTCTGTTTTTTCTCTTGATTATAATTAATAATAGTCACCTTTGCATTGACTGAACTGAGTTGAGGCTGGGTTTCAGCTTTGAAAAGGCTCAATCTTCCTCTGTTCATACAACAAGTTCTCCAGGGGTTTCATCTGAGAGCATGGTACATTTGCTGTGTCCCCTCTCCCTAGAAAGTCCTAAAGTCTAATCATTATCTCCTCAGCAGTCTGAGACTAACAAAAATTCAGCTCTTCTTTTCAGATTTCTTTGCTTGTGTTTTTAGCCTCTATCACTTCATAGTTTCAAAATTTGGCAAATAATTTGAGGGTGAAGCAGCCCCATTCTCCTTTAATCTCCAATTTTCTCACTTTGTTCTTTGGAGTCCATCATAAGCCCTGCTCTTTTCTCTGATACCGATTTTTCTGTTTGGTTTATAACCATTGTATTCATCTTCTTGCCTACACCAAGAATTATTATATGCACCCAGGGAAAAGTTAGCTGCAGAATGTCGGACTACCTCTCCATGATTTTCCCTTTTCTGGAATATTAACTCTTCTAGTTCTTGTTGCTTCAGCAGTTCTCTGATATAAACCTTTAATAAATTATTTTTATATTTGATTAATTCATTCTAGTTGTTGTTTTATATTTGGTCCACTCCTAGCATTGGTGTGCCATGGCCACTCCAATCTATCTAGAAGCTTATAATTTTATTTTATTTTCACAGAGAGAATAACTTTTCTTTAAAAACAAAAGTATACCTTCAGTTAGTTCTAGGTACAAGGGGATCAAATCAGTGTTTCTATGTAAAATTATTATTATTATTATTTTTGAGACGGAATCTCACTCTTATTGCCCAGGATGGAGTGCAGTGGCGCAATCTCGGCTCAACGAAACCTCTGCCTTCTGGGTTCAAGCAATTCTCCTGCCTCAGCCTTCCCGGGTAGCTGGGATTACAGGCATGCGCCAACATGTCTGGCTAATTTTGTATTTTTAGTAGAGATGGGGTTTCTCCATGTTGGTCAGGCTGGTGTGTTGATCCGCCCATCTTGGCCTCCCAAAGTGCTGGGATTACAGGCATGAGCCACCGCTCCTGTCCTTAAAATTTTTTTTATTGGAATATCTTCTCAATAACAGGTGCTATTTTTAAATGTGAGTAGAACAAAAGAATTAGAAATATCTGAGAATATTGACTTTGCTGTCAAAATTTTATTCATTTTATATAGGAATCTGTTTTTTAATAAAATGTGGCTAAAGATATTGACTTGGGTGATGTGCATTTTTACATTCCAGAATCTACTCAATGAGAACATAATAAAATATAATTCATAACAAAAACATGCCAATCAAAAAAATTTAACAAACATAATATCAAATTGATTGTTACTCCTGGTAGCACACTGCTAATAATTCTTGTTTTTTGTATCAGCAATACTGAGCTATTCCTCAGACAGGTGAAGGAAATAGTAAGATTCTAGACCATTTAGAAGTTTCCAGGGGCAATGGATCATGCTGCATGCATCTTCTGTCAAGAAAAAGGCAAAGCTTAAGATATTCTTGGGCCTCATGGCCTATTGAAAACATATTGTGAGTTGTTTCAAAAAAGATTCAAGATGTCTTACAAAAATAGAAATTGAAAATTTGTTATAAAGAGTGGAAGCTATCAGGGCAAAGAAACAATAAAAAGAAGATAATTAGATGAAGCTAGGGATAAAGTAATATTCACTATTAGGGTCAATATAAGTGAGCCATGCAATATATTAATTGCTATGCTTCATTTAGACAAATAAATAATCATTTTGTCTCCTTTATTAAGATATTGCTCAACCAATCAATTGAAATATACAATCAAAAGATGTTTCATTTCACTGGGTTTGAAGAAAGAGATTCCTAAATAAACTGGGAGGTGATCTTTATGATTACCTCCAACATCATGATTTTATGACTCAGGCCAATTCTAAAGGCAAGTGGAATTAACACCAGTGAGATTTGCTATGAAGGACTTTCTGTTCCATATGGATTTCTTCTACTACAAAATCTCCTTCTCCCCAGACCTTTTCTACATTGTACAATCTATTATACCAGGGGCTGGCGAATATTTTCTGTCTTTACAGAAAATGACCCAATAGTGAATATTTTGGACTTCTTGGGGACATACGGTCTTGCCAGAATTACCGAACTCTGCCACTGTATCAAAAACAGCTATGGATGATACATTAAAAAATGAGTGTGACTGTACTTCATAATAAATACAACTTTATTTACAAAAGCAGACAAAGGCTGAATTTGGTCCACAGGCATTGTTTGCCAACCTCTGCTTTAGACCAAGATTGTGTTTCACAAAATGTTCCACAGTACTCCAAGCAGAGATGCCCCCGGAACCTACCTCGAAATGTCTTTAATACCTTGTATTTTATTCTTAAAAGGCATTATAATTGTGCATTCTACTTTATAATAATAAAATTCAATAATAATGTACAGGTATTTCAAGTTTTTCACATTATAAACTAAAATGTTTGCTACTGGTATAGTAAGAAATTTGTTCTTGCCATGAGAGACGGCTGGCCTTTCCTCTCAGCTTCTGGGAGGTACCTTATGTCATACTTGGTTAGAAGTGTCTTTGCTTGGGTGGGGACTCTCCAGGCCAGGAAGACCAGCCATGTGATTTAGGCTGGGGGCTTGAGGTCACACATTCTCAGTTAACTTAGATACTGAGTTTTACTGTGTGGGCAATCAATCAATCATATCTATGTAGTGAAGCCTCAATAAAAACTCTAAACTTTGAAGCTTATGTGAGTGTCCCTGTTTGGCAATACTCTATGCATATGACCCCCTAGCAATTCCAGGAGAATAAGTCATCCAAACTCCATAGGAGAGGACAACAGAAGCTTCACATTTGGAATCCTCCCAGACTCTGCACTATGTGTATCTTTCTTTGGTCAATTTTAATCTGTATCCTTTCCTGTAACAAGCAATAATGATCACTATGACAATTTTTAGTGAGTTCTTCAAGCCCTTTTGAATTACCGAACCAGAGGTGGTTTGGGGAACCCTCCCAAACTTGCAGTTTGGTGTCGAAATTAAGGTTGTTTGTACAGAACTGTGCCCTCATACGTTGTAGTTTGGCTAACTCCAGGCACTTCTATATTATTTTGTGCTTTATTCTGCCTCTGGTTTACACCATCTTATATCTGGTAATTCACAAAGCCTAGTTGAGAAGTAGAGGATAATGAAAATTAAGATCCCTAGTAAATACATACCTGTGGTTTAGAAAGATAATGCCTATTACCAATTTAGCATTCCTAATTATTAACTTTAACTCAAATCACACCATCAGAAGGCTCTATAAGATGGTTCCTGACTCTTGCCTACCAATTTCAGTGAACCACCAACAAGCCCAGGGAAATGGGTTATAAGTAACCACCCATTCATTTACAGTTAGTTGAGACATCTTAATAATCTGATTTCAATATGTACCAATATTTTGATGAAGCTATTAAAAATATAAACATTTTAGCAGCCATCCATATGTGACTCTCCACAAAAGTTAATTAGCCTCAATGTATATTAACTCTTCAGATCTACGTGATTTGTTGCAGTCAATTTGGGGCACCATATTTTAAGGGAGTTATAATATAAACTAAACTGTACACCAAAGAGAGTGCAGAGGAGGGTTAGTAAATTTAAAACACATCTAAAAAATTGAAAATACTGGGAATGGCAAAGATGAAACATTTGTGAATAATAGCAGTCAGCAAACAAAAGATGATTTTGTAGAAGAAGAAGTTAATTATTTTCTCCATTCCTCTGCAGAACAATAAAAGAACAAAGATGAATAAGTGAAAATAAAAAGAATTATCCATTTTAGATCAAATTTCTAAACATCTTTTAACCATCTAGAACCTTCCAACAATGGAATGTGTTGCTTTATGAAGCTATACTCTTTTTTTTCATTGAAGGTATTCAAGCAGAGTCTGAATTATCTCCATTGCATGACTTATTCATTAAATAAATATTTATAAAGGACATATTATGTCCAAGGCCCTATGCTAAGACTATGGGAGTAGCAAAGATGAATCAGACTAAATTCTTCCCAGATAGTGGAGGTAAGACTTGAACTAAATAATCAGAATACAAGGTAGAAGAAAAAGTGTCCTTAGAGATGTACAGCTAAAGCTGTATAGGAATGAAGAGGAGGGAGGCATGACTTTCAGTTCATGGATGTTGGAGAAGTGTTTTCTCCACTACAATCTATTCCCGACAGAGCAGCAAAACCTCTGTTCATATCACACCCTTGTTCAAACTCTTCAACAGATTTTGTAACACATAGAATAAATACAGAGTTGTGTTTATTGTATTGGCTTCTAAAATTGGATGTAATCTGGCTTCTGCCTACATCCCCAGTCTCATGCATCTGCCACAGTAGTCTTTCTGATTCTGTAACATGCCCAGCTCATTCTTTCTAAGACCTTTCCATTTGTCATTAGTCAGCTCATCTGCTGAACGCTTCAGTCCCAGATCTTGGTGTGGTTGGTGATTTCTTATTTTCTAGTTTTCAGCTCCCATGCCATTTCCTCTATCAGGCCATCCTGGACCACCCTATCTCAATTAGCTGAGCGTGTCTTCCTTTATCCCCTATCTCTCTAGAGCTCTTACCATTTTATTTTCTTCCTAGTACTACCAGGATCTGATATTGTCCTTGCTCTTCTTCATTTATTTATAAGTTGCCTGTCATCTGGGTCTACCAACTACAACTTAACAAGAGTAAGAATTTGTAGATCTTGTTTGCTGCTGTTTTTCCAACATCCAGATTAGAACATATAATAAGCATTCAGTAAATACGTGTTAAAGGTTGACTGAATGAAGAGTTTTTTGCACAGGATAGGAGTTCAGACAAGAACCAAGATTCTTTAACTCTTTCTAACTTATATTTTGTGAAATGAGTCTCAATGTGATAAGTCTCAATGATAATGTCTCTCAGCCAGGTCACCCCATTTGATCACCTCTGGAATTTTGGGCATTGCTTTTCTCCTGCTCTACAGACACATTCTCCAACTTTCAGGCTCAAAGGAAGAGGTATCCTTAAGTGATTCTTTTCTGAGTCTTTCTGAATCATGATTAACTTTTTTTCGTACATTACTAACATCTTTTCTAACAGGTCATACTTTTTTGTAAGTTCTTTTGGTATTATTTTCTACTTGCTTTTGTTTGATAGAGATGTAAGATAGCCTATATCAGTGCTATTCACTGAAACAATGCAAGCCACATTTGTAATTTTCTAGTAGCCACATTAAAACGTGGTAAAAAGAAGAATAAGCATATATCTCCCAAAATGTTCAGGCAAGCATATTACCACTGCAAACAGATTTTTCACTACAAAGGTTTTCTCTTAATTTTCAAATTTATATGTATGTATGTATATGTGTGTGTGTGTGTGTGTGTGTGTGTGTATGGATATATATATATATATATATATATATATATATATATATATATATATATATAGTGGTATCTCAACTGCATCAGAAATAAAGATAAAACCACAGAAACAGAAAAAAATGTGGTAAAAAGAAAAAAGCTGAAATTACTTTTAGTAATATATTTCAGTTTAGCCTAATATGTCTGAAATATTATCACTGTAACACGTAATCTATAAAAATTGTTAATGACATCTTTTACATAAAGTTGTTTAATGGAAAATTATTTTGCAATGCTTCAATGTTAATATTTAAAGTAGTTAAAGTTCAATAAAATTAAAAATTCAATTCCTCAGTCACACTAGCCATACCTCAAGTGCACAATTAACCATGTACAGCTAGTAGGTACACATACTATCTGATTAAATGATAGACACAGTGGTGCAGGAACTTGTACCTTCAACTATTCAAAGCATTCAGTAGTTAATTTTGTAGGTAGGTAAATTAATGAATTGGACACTCTTTACTTTTTAATCAACAAATGAGAAAACATAAATGAATTATTTACATTGTTTATACAAGTGTGTATTTAATTACTGGCATTGGGAATTGGCATTAATAAAAGCAAAAACAGCACTAGAAAGTAAAAATACTGGTAAGATTAATGAATGTCTTGAGACCATGCTTGTGTTAGTCAGTTTTCATGCTGCTGATAAAGACATATCCGAGACTGGGAAAAAAAAGAAGTTTAATTAGATTTACAGTTCCATATGGCCGGGGAGGCCTTGGAACCATGACAGGATGTAAAAGGCACTTCTTACACGGCAGCGGCAAGAGAAAATGAGGAAGATGCAAAAGCAGAAACCCCTGATAAAACCATCAGATCTCATAAGACTTATTCACTACCACAAGAACAGTATGGGGGAAACTGCCCCCATGATTCATATTATCTCCTACTCGGTCCCTCCCACAATACGTGGGAATTATGGGAGTACAATTCAAGATGAGATTTGCGTGGGGACACAGAGCCAAACCATATCAATGCTGTTGTGGTAGAAGTAAATGTTTCCTATGCATAAAGCAAACTTTAATCATGGGGAGAATTATCTCAGGGCTGTCCTAAGCCTCTGAAGATTGTGTTTCTTTTCTTAAACATACTAGAAGCTCTGTTATGCACAGTGGGAGTGAGCTGTAGAAAAGGCTGCCACCTCCCCTTTGTGATAAGAATAATCTCTTACCACTCCTGCATCATTGCTTTCATGTGAGCCTCTATTAAAAAAAATTTATAAAATAAATAAATTCATACATGCATATATACATACATAAATAGAAGAGGAAATGAAGGAAAATAAAAATTAAAGTAGAATAATAAAATGACATTTCAAAGGAAATTAATAAAATATTCTAAAACCTAATGAGATAACCACAAGAATTTTAAAACAAAAAGAGCTTAAACACATTTGATTTTTTTTAAGTCACAAAAAACTTGAGTAACCAAAATAAATCAAAACTTTTTAAAACTTGAAAGGAGGTTGAGTGTGATGGCTCATGCCTGTAGTCCCAGGACTTTGGGAGGCCAAGGTGGGTGCATCACCTGAGCTCAGGAGTTCAAGACAAACCTGGGCAACATGAAGAAACCCCATCGCTACAAAAAATACAAAAATTAGCCAGGTGTGGTGGTGCATGCCTATAGTCCCTGACACGCAGGGGGCTGAGGTGGGAGGATCACTGAGCCTGGGAGGTCGAGGCTGCAGTGAGCCATGATCACACCACTGTATTCCAGCCTGAGCAACAGAACAAAACCCTGTTTCGAAATATAAAAACAAAAAAAAAAGAGAGAGAGAGAGAGGAAGAAAATATAAACCTTAGGACTGTGGGAAAAAACAAAAATATTAAATAAAAATAAGACTATTTCTATCATAATAATAGTTCCCATTTATTTAGCACCTACCATGTGCCAGGCACCATATTAACTCCTTTTTCTACAACAAATCCTGTGTAATATTTTCATTTTAGAGGTGATGAAATTAAGACTCAGAAGCTACCAGCAATTCACACTGCAAAGGAGAACTAAAATTGGAAGGTGAAAATATTCAGCATGTGTTTTTTCTAAATAGATTTTTTAAGAAATGTATATTTTATTAAAGGATGGTGCTATTGTTTAAAGTATTATGTGTCAACCCAAAATTCATAAACTGAAACTTAAATTCTGATGTGATAGTGTTTATTAAGAGGTAGGAACTTTAGAAGGTGATTAAATCTTGAGGGTGGAGGCCTCATAAATGGGGTTGGCAACCTTATAAAAGGGTTGGAGGGAACTAGCTAGGCTCCTTTTGCTCTTCTGTCACTTTTGCCATGTGAGGACACAGCATTCAAGGAACCATCTTGGAAGTGGAGACCAGGCCCTCATTAGACACTGAATTTGCTCACTCCTTGATCATGGACTTTCAGCCTTGAAGACTGTGAAAAATAAATTTCTGTTCTGTATAAATTATCCAGTCTCAGGTATATTGTTATAGGAGCATGAAAACACTAAGACAGATGGCTTGACTTTGAAAGAAGTAGAAACAAAAATGTGTATTATGAGAAAATAATTTCTACCCTCATAGTCCCTTCCACGCACAGGGACTGTGCTGAACTGATTGCAGCCCTGGCAAAGAGGTAACTCCTAGTCAGGCAGAGGTCCTTGCTCTTCTCTGAGGCTATAGGACATAAAGATGTATGAGAATATCTTTATGCCTGCTCACTAATGCCTACTCACTCCTTCTCTAACATTTCTGCCATTTTTACAATTCTGCAAATGTACAGGAAATGTTTCCTCAAATTTGTACCTTATTTTGCATAGCTATACCTGTCTTCAAAAAAAAAAAAAGGTGTTTGTGGCATCGTATAAAGAACAATGTCTTACAGGAGAGAAGGGTGAATTTTAGTCTCAATTCTGTAAGAATGTCGATGGGACCCCTCTAGTCACAGCAGGAATTCAGAAAGTTCCTTTTCCTCAACCCTCACTAGAAATGCAATTTGAAATGTAATCCTCAAATTGGTTTTTGGAAACAAACAGGATAAAAATTATAAGTAAATTGAAAATAAATAACTCATGAAAAATAAGCTGTACTCTTAGAAATTGTAAAATGAGATTCTTAAGTACTAACCTTAGCCTTTGCTAATTGGTAAGAAAAATGAAAAAAACAATAGCTAGTCTATTTTCTATGCAATCTTTGGGTCTACGGTGTGTGGGGGGAGCCTCTCTGCATAAGTCAGTATAAATATTCTGGATCAGCTTAGAAGGAATACATTTTATTAGCTACGGCTGCACAGTAGATTGATGAGACTATCCCTTAAGACAATCCAATTCCCTTTACTCAACCTTGAGATTTCTCACACTTGCCTGATCATTGCAATTACTTTGGCTTTTTTGGAAGTTCTTCTCTGATAGGTCTGAGCTGTGACACAGATCTATATTTGTCATAAGCACCCTGGAAATACTTAGGATCAGGTTAGTTTGAGCTTCCTGCTTCACAGTGCAAAAGCTGTCTTCTAATGTTAATTTGGTTCCTGAGATTCTTTCCTTCTAAAAAGGATAAAGGCTCTCCAGCTGTCACAAGTATTCTAGTCTGTTTGGTAATCCTATTTCTCAATGGAAAAAAAAAAAAAGATTCTGTCTGTAAATTAGTTTTAGCTTTGTTTCTGTAAATGAGCACCAGAACCTCAGCCAGTTGCCCCTGTGTAAACTGAGAAAACTGTCATTAACACTGCAACTACATCAGGCTAGAAGTGGCTCCACCAAGACCATCACTTGTACGGCTTTACCCGAAATAGTCTACTGGCTTTTACCTTTTCATTTAAACAACTTAAATTTCTGATATAAAAACTAAACAAGAATTAAATAATACTTTGGTATACACACAGCTTCCATGTATACAATTTCTGAAGACCAGAAGAAAAACAAGTAGTAAAATGAGGAAGGTCTCCCTGGAGTCCTTTCTCCATCCCCAAACACAGCAAGACAGCTTTATCCTCTTCCACATCATCCTTTACTCTTCCATCTAGTTTTCCACAAAAGATTCTCTTGGTATTCAGCTTCCTATACTAAGCTGCCTTCATCTATTTGCAAAGTCTTTTTCAGGGTGGTTTAGCCATTTGTCCTCCAAATGTGTTGTCCCTGGACAATGTTGTTCTGCTCCTTTCTGACACCGACCCTACCCTACGTTCTGCCATATTAAAGTGATTTCTAACAAGTATTGTAAACAGTAGATAAGAGCCAAATATTATCAGAGGGGGCATTATTACACTTTTTATTTGAAATCATAAAATCTTATCTTTGCTTTCTCACAAGAATGCCATTATCTCCATTTCCCACATGGGGAAACAGATCCAGAAAAATCAAGTGACTGGCCTCCTTCAAATCAGTAGCAACCCTGGAACTGGTGTTTATACATTTCTACTTCATTGTGCTCTCCAGTCAGCCCATGTGCCTGTCATTAAAATATTATTTCATTCAAGGATTATTTGCTCTTTCTTCCTGATCGTTAATAAAGACATTAAACAAAACCAGACCTCATGCTGACCCTATAGTCAACACATTGCCCTGCGTCATTAGGATTTGTCCTCCAGCCAGTTCTCAGTCCATGTGACAGAGCACACAGCAAAGCCAATGCTAATTAGGTTGGCAAATAAGATTTATTGAGATACTGTATCAAATGGGTTACAAAAATATAAATATATGTGTGTTAAGGTACATTCATTGTGCTCAGTAAGTTTTTAATTCTATTGAAAAAGCTATCAAGTCTGTCTGGCACTATTTGTCTTTATAAATCTATTCTTTTATAGCAGAGCTCTTTTAGCTCTTTTGATTCCATTATCCTCTGTGTTTCAATCTTAACAGTGGTTTCTGTTATTTTTTAAAAGAAATGATTTCACAATAGGAATTCAAACACAGATTCTTTATTCCAAGATGATTACTAATAAAATTAACAACAATTAATCCCATTGAAGCATACCAGGCCAAAGAGAATTGTTGACATCTTATTAAGTGTCCTGGGACCAGAATGAGGATTTCTGATTTCCAGTTCTCCTCCCTAGCAATAAACAGCATGGTTTAGGACCAGAATTATAATGCCTTAGAAAAAGCTTATAGAACTGTGCTTATAATTATGTCCTCCAAATGGAACAACTCCCATTCACATGTCTGATTTTTAGACTTGTTTTTCTATGGATTCCACTCCACTGTGTGTACTTACTTGTCCTAGAATTTCTCGTACAATGCTGCATATCAATCTTTGTTGAAATAGTGTAAAACTTTACCTACACATTTTTCTCCCTGTTTAAACCATATGTTTTATACAGTTCAATAAAATTCTTCTATCTTTTAGTGAAAATTTGAAATATCATAAAAGGCTAGGAAATTCCATTTAAACTAAAGTCAAAGTGGTCTCCTGATGACTGCTGCAAAGCATATTTTATATAAATGGAAATTGGGTCAGCTATGAATTAAATTAACAACCACCATATTTCCTTAACCACAATTGCATAACCTTATGTCCAGCATGTTCACAGCTGAGGACTTTACCACTGACTTACAAAAAAAAAATGCTATGCACATAAAGTTTTTGCCCGGTCTTTTAAAAAGTTTCTTTCTGGGCAGGCTTCTTATTTTTGCTACAGTTCTGAGCCATTTCACTAGGACCATACACTGTACATATGTTCCAGGTAACATGAACTTTAAAATTGTAGTATCTATTAATGACAATTACCATTCTAGAAAATAATATCTAATTTAAAATTTGAGTATTACTTAGAAAGCTCTCTGCTAATTAATGGCTCTCTTCATTGTGAGAGTAATAATGTATTTAGATTTTTAATAAAGTATAATATATGATATTTTAAAGGATTGAAATTTGCATGGAAGGGAAAGAACTACATTGTAGCATTGGGTGCATTGGGTGAGGAGATCTTATATATAAATGGTCTACTAAAGGAATTCTATAACTTTACTTTTTGAAATATATATGGATCACTTTATATGTGAAGTATGAACTCATTCTTTGATAATTGCAAGTATAGCAGCAATTGTGACTGAATATTTAGTATTATCAATTAATATGAATTTATATCACTTAAAGAAAAATGAAGCATATTCATATTTGAAGAGTTGCCTGTGGAGTCCCACTCCAATAGTTGAGTTTGCTTTTTTACCTCAAGGACATTCTGCACTGGCAAGTTTACAGTTGCCCTAGACCGAAAAAGACCAGGGTGCTTTATTATTAGCAAAAAAAATTGTGTATATGTGTTTTCCTTTAAAGGTATCAGCTCCTACAAGAACAAACTTGTAAACCTGTTTCTGAGTTTACTCCTATGTGCCAATAAAATGGCTTTCTCTAAGTTGATTCTTTCGAATTTTTGTGTCATCATTTTTTTTTGGCTGTTGAAGTATTCAAATTAAATATTCATATAACTATTAACATGCAAACATGAATGTAATTTCATAGAAACTGATAATATCAGAACCTGATTCAGAATGCAATTTACATCTTAAGTAACATGGTATCACTATTGATTAATATTTGTTTACAAGTTTCATGAAGGTATGATAGGGAAAGGAAAGTGATTTACATTTCACATTCTGTGAGCAGAAGTATCTTATGAAAGAACAAGCGCTAATATTTGTTAGCATTTCCTAGGCTTTGCTCTGTGCTAAGTACATTACATACATAACTGTTATCACTGTATCCTCACAACAATATATCTCTGTGGCAAAGTCTATTTTTAGCCTCATTTCACAGATGGGTAATATGAGGCAGAGAGAGGTTAAGTAATTTACCCGAAGTACACAGCCAGAAAGTAGGATTTGAACACAAGGAGTCCTACACAGAGCCCTCATGCTTGAGCTCATGCTACCAGAAAATAACGTAGATCAGTGGTTCTCAGACAAGAGCAGGGATTAGAATCACCTGGAGGGCTTACCAAAACAGACTACCTGGCCTCATCCTCAGAGTTTTCAGTACAGTAGATCTGGTCTGAGATCTGAGAATTTGAATTTCTAACAAGTTTCCAGGTGGTGTGGTGCTGCTGGTTTGGGGGTCACACTTTGGGAACCACAGATGTAAATGACTGTCTGGAAATCAGGACAACTGAGCTGTGCATGGAGAGTTTAGGAACTGGAGATGCTACCATGTGCCTGGAGAGAAAAAAGGGGACAACCAGACACCAAGAAAGAAACTGAAGATGCTCAGGGAGGGGGACTCTCTGAGGAAAAGGAAGGCAGGAGCTATACACTTTTGTTGTTGGGAAAGCCTGAGGTCCAGAGGAGAGGGACAGGTGGGAAATCCTGCAAGGACAGTAGATGTCAAACCAAGGAAGGAACTTTTTAAAAGGAATGTTGAAATGCCACAGTAATTTCTACTTAAAAACTCAACCCTGGGAAAAATGTTTGACTTTTCTAAAGCATAATGACATCACAAACAACAGACAATAGTGGCAAAGGCTTCAATCTGAGAGACAGAATATCATAGCCCAAAACTGCTGGTGATCCTGTAGCTGTCATTTTAACCCCTTGAGCCCCAGTCTCCTAGGTCTTCCTCATATTTATTCTTGTTCATCTTGAGAATCCCTTCTTGCTTTAATGGTCTAAGGTTCAAATGATGGAGACAGGAGGATATGACCCTCCAGTATATTTGCTTTACAAATCTGCTTCTCTCTTTCATCTAAGTTGCTTTAAATTGATCATCTCATTATCCAACCTGAGTTAGAATGGAGACATATGAACTTATTAATGACTTCTTATTAAAAGAGGGGACATTTACATTTGCCTCTGGTTTTGGTTTGAGTCTTCAGACAGCACTGCAGCTAAATTACTATTTATTTTTAGCAGCCAAGAAAGAGAAGATTGCTTAATGTTTGTTGTTTCTTGGATCTGCCTTCTATCTAGATGTCTGTAAACGCCATCAATACAGTCAATGGAAGAAGAAAAGTGTGCCAAGCCTATTTTCTTCATTATAATTGATGGAGGCCACTCAGGGCCATGTTCCATTTACTCTCAAATTAAGATGGCATGAATGTCTCCTGTTCACCCCGTTCTTTTTATTAAAGAGTTGAAGCACTTTTTAAATCAAGAAGAGAGGGAGATAGATTTAATCCTATGTCTGCATTTCAGGAAAATTTAAGAGAGGGACATTCCAGGTCAAGGGGCCAACAAAGGAAGACTGGGGAGTTTGTGTTCCTTTTGACATCACGTGATCACCATAGATGTCCGCCTTTAACCTAGGGTGGGGCCAGTATTTGTTCAGTCTCCATTCCTGTACTATTTTAACAGTAATCCAGAAAGTGTGTGACAAGGGGACTTGAGCCTGTCTTTGGGTTTCTCAACATTAGCCTCCTCTCTATGTTCTACTCTAAAATAGCCAGCTCTCTGTTCAACTTCTAAAATACAGTTAGGCAGACTAAGTGAAATCATGACAGAGATTTTATATTACTTTTTGTAGTAACTTGAGTTATAGGACTTTCATATCCTGATCAAAGAAACAGAAAATGGCTTGCTCTGAGTCCCACAGTGCAGTGGTAACAGAAGCAGGAATAGAACCTGGGTCACTTATCTTCCAGTCTAATGATCCTTCTGGTCTACCACTTCTCTCAGACTTTGCTGCCAGCAAAGGCTTTCTTGGTGTATTCACTTCCTACTTGCACACATTAACTCACACACACTCTAACACGCCCATAGTCATACACACTCATTCTCCCTATTACACACTCCTTCATTGTCATACTCATACACTCACACTCACATAACTACAGGAGCACCAGAGCCACAGCTTCCCAGCATGGCCTACAGCTGGAGGCCCAACCCATCTACTCAGATTCCTTTTGTTGAATCAATGTGACCCATGCAAGGTTTCAAACCTGATGTCAACACCCAACTGAGGGCTCAGACCAGAGCTGGACCTGCATAAAAGTTCCATGTGGAGGCACTAACCTCCATATTTTGAGTTCTAGATTAGGTGGCAGACAGTGAGGAATGAATCTTGCAAGAGAAAGTGGTCAGAAAAGGATCCAGTGGCAGAATTCCAGGATGAAGTCTAGTCATCAGAAGGGAGTTGAGGCCAGAGAATTGATGACTATGAGAGTGAATTCTGAAGAAAAGAATCCAGTCATTGAAGAGGACCAGGTTTCAGAAACAAAATCCAGGTACCTAAGAGCACGGTGAGTATGAGGAAGCAGATGGTATTAAAGTTTATGAGCTATCAGAGGATAAATGGGGCAAGGAGCACTGTCCCAAAGAGTAACACTCACCATGAGGGAAGATGGTTTGGCTGTAGCTGGGCTTTGCTGCCCTCTTTACACCAGGTGACCCTCTTTGCTCTAGTCTGTGATAGCTTCTTACACTTAAGGGTTTTTTGTTTTTGTTTTTGTTTTTGCCTCTTCCTTGGACAAATGAGGCAAAAGCGACTATAACTAAATCACATCAGTGGCAAAGTTTAAAGAACACTTAGATTTTATAATTAATTCTTTTTTTTTTTTTTTTTTTTTTGCGATGTAGTCTCACTTTGTCGCCCAGGCTGGAGTGCAGTGGCGTGATCTCAGCTCACTGCAACCTCCACCTCCCGGGTTCCAGTGATTCTCTTGCCTCAGCCTCCCAAGTAGCTGGGACTACAGGCACATACCACCATGCCCGGCTAATTTTTGTATTTTTTAGTAGAGATGGGGTTTCATCATATTGGCCAGGCTACTCTCGAACTCCTGACCTCATGATCCGCCCGCCTCGGCCTCCCAAAGTACTGGGATTACAGGCATGAGCTACCGCGCCTGGCTATAATTAATTCTTTGGGGATAGCAATTGTAGATCTATCCCCCTTCCCCTCAACCCTCGTGTAGATTGACAAGTGTCATCCAGGTAACACAGGGTTTCTGAAGATGCCCTGAATTCTGTTGAGTCAACAATGAAGGCTCTCAGAGAAGCACCCAACATCTGGTGTGAGAGTGATCTAGAACATGTTCTCACAACCGCCCAGAAGCTGAATATCAAGTTTATCTGGACTTGGATCACAGTGATCACTGAACACAGCTTTTAATTACTCAACAGTTAGTCAACAATATGCAGATAAGTAAGATAATTATTTGTCATATCTTTTACCTTCTCTGTTTATGTAGCCTACTTTATGTCTAGGCAAAGTGTGTGGCCACAGCAAAGTGAGATTTGTTCTGTTCAGGACAGGAAAGGACCCTGCTTCAACTATAAATTCTCCTCTTGTCAAAGGCACAGAAATAATTAGCTATATCCAAGGGCACAACTATTCCTCTACCGACAATAAAGCCTGACTGTATTTGCATTTTATCTTGCAATATGCCCACCTAAAAAACATTTCTACAAAGGCTGCATAAAATAGAACTGTCAAGTTTCAGTACTGCTCCATACACCAGCAGCACATTTGCAAATATGAAGGTCTCACATTTTGTCAAGAGAAGGTACAGATCTGTTAGAAATTAAAAACAAATATCATTTCCTAATGGAAGTTGGATTTTATTCTAAGCCAACATCTGGACTAATTTGCCAATGAAAGCTTTCTACTTTAAACCTTGAAAGGGAGAAATAGACTAAATAAGTTGTATTTTAGGATTGATCTGATGTTCTAATTTTTATCTCCACACAAGCCTTCACTTAAGGTTAAAATATGAGTCTTCTTTGATCTTTCTACATCAGTTGGACGGTGAGTCAGTTCTCAATGTTTACTTTGTGGTACTATGATAATAAAAATATTGTAGCAGTTTTGTTTTACTATTCAGACTTTCTCAAAGAAGAAATCCTAGTGCCAAAAGGTAATAAAAATTACCAAAATGAAATTTCTCAGTTGTTAACCTGTCAATCACAAGAAAATTTAGCTCTAGGAGTATCACCTCACTACAAATGGATAAAATAGCAATCAATCATACAGTAATTTTTTACACTGGCATGTTAAATCTGTATAATAGTCAAAAATATGAATATCATGTTTCTATATAATATTTTATTAGAATATTCTTTTCTACAGATCCTGGTAAGTTTTTGTTCCAACTCATACTCACTGTTTTGTTTTGTTTTGTTTTGTTTTGTTTTGTTTTGTTTTGTTTTGTGACATTGCCAAAATATATACTGTTACCCATATAAGGTAAAATGGCCCTGTGTATAAAATACCACGTGGTGAATGCTTGCATTTCAATTAAAACCAGATCTCATGACATCTTTATGCATCTGAGCCCCAGCCATCTGAGGGTAGCCATGTCAACCTCCTACACTCTTTATCAGTGTAAGCTCATCTATTCTTAGACTATGAAATATGGGTCTTGGGTGTCAGGGGAAGAATTGTTGGCTGGTCACAGCTGTGGCCTGGTGGGGAGTACTTTGTGTGGTCTGTGAGCAGAATTTTTCTGCCTTCCTTCCCAGCTGTGCACTGCTGAGTGGAAGGTGTACCCCAGGCTCATCAATCTCTTTGTGTTCCTCACACTGAACTGGGAAGGTTAGAAAGAGGCAGGCCAGGAAGAGAGGTCCAGAGGCCAGTTTCTTCCCACTGAGTCAAAGAATAGCATAGAAAAGAGACTAAACAATTGTTCCTCTCAGGCTGCTTAGAAAGAAGACAGAGGCCACTAAATGAATGCATCATTCTTTGGGAGCTCCTGTACCAGGCTGATAACTGTATGTGAGTCAAAGCTGAATAACTTTAGGGAAAAAAATCTGCAAAATATTAGGTAGAAACTAACAGGGAAAAAAACCTCAAAGTTGCAGTTCATTTTTATTCATTGGTGATTAACTTGAAATGTAGTCACTTGATCTACAAGGTTGTTTAAATGATAAAAAGACATTTTTCTAGTATTTTTCAAACAAAAAAGTTAGGTTTTTATATTTCTGTACCACACTGTGGTTTAATTTAAATAGTTTTAACAAAAAAAAACCTTTTTCTTATTAAAGTCTATTGTTGCCAGAGCCAATCAGAAGCAAAAGAATGGATGTGAAAATTAGGCCTGAGAATGTATATTTGGGTAAAAAAGCTTAAAAATAAACTTAATTCTTAGCTGCAGGAACCTTTCCCAGCCGACACCTGGGAATTACACTGTCACTGTCCTAACTTGGGTTTTGAGTGCATCTTAGAGTTTATCATGAAAAATGCCAGTTTCACCTGTTTTGTTAGTTCAAGGATATGGTCATTATTTGTTGTGTTTATTAAAAAGTCTAAAATACAATTTCTGCAAGACTGAAAAAGATAAAATGACTTCCCATTTTTCGTAACTCTTTCCTGCAGTTTATGTTTGAATAAAGATTTCTAAAGATTATACAAACCAGTTTTTGGGGGGGTCTTTTTTTATTATTATTATACTTTAAGTTCTGGGATACATGTGCAGAACGTGCAGGTTTGTTACATGGGTATATATATGCCATGGTGGTTTGCTGCACCCATCAACCCGTCATCTACATTAAGTATTTCTCCTAATGCTATCCCTCCCCTAGCACCCCACCCCTTGACAGGCCCCAGTAGGTGATCTTCCCCTCCCCATGTCCATGTGTTTTCTTTGTTCAACTCCCACTTATGAGTGAGAACATGCGGTGTTTGGTTTTCTGTTCTGTGTTTGTTTGCTGAGAATACCATTCAGGACATAGGCATGGGCAAAGACTTCATGACTAAAACACCAAAGCAATGGCAACAAAAGCCAAAATTGACAAATGGAATCTAATTAAACTAAAGAGCTTCTGCACAGCAAAAGAAACTATCATCAGAGTGAACAGGCAACCTACAGAATGGGAGAAAATTTTTGCAATCTTTCCATCTGACAAAGGGCTAATATCCAGACTTTACAGAAACTTAAACAAATTTACAAGAAAAAAAATCTCATCAAAAAGTGGGTGAAGGTTATGAACAGACACTTCTCAAAAGAAGACATTTATGTGGCCAACAAATGTGAAAAAAAGTTCATCATCACTAATCATTAGAGAAATGCAAATCGAAACCACAACGAGATACCCTCTCATGCCAGTTAGAATGGTGATCATTAAAAAGTCAGGAAACAACGGATGCAGGAGAGGATATGGAGAAATAGGAACGCTTTTACACTGTAGTGGGAATGTAAATTAGTTCAACCATTGTGGAAGACAGTGTGGGTGGCGATTCCTCAAGGATCTAGAACTAGAAATACCATTTGACCCAGCAATCTCATTAATGGGTGTATACCCAAAGGATTATAAATAATTCTACTGTAAAGACACATGAACATGTATGTTTATTGTGGCACTATTCACAACAGCAAAGACTTGGAACCAACCGAAATGCCCACCAATGATAGACTGGATAAAGAAAATGTGGCACATATACACCATGGAATACTATGCAGCCATAGAAAAGGATGAGTTCATGTCCTTTACAGGGAAATGGATGAAGCTGGAAACCAGTTTCTCCATCACTAGTACAGAAAAATCAAAATAGAACAGAATGCTATAGTGATAATAAAAGTGTTCTTAGACTTAAATAACAATCTTTAAAGAAAAATTATTCTAACTCAATTAGTTGATTAAGTTATCCCTGATAACTGAAGGCAACATTTATTTTTGTTGAGATCAACACAACTGTTTAGAAATATAAAATTTTGTTTGCTTTTATTAATAGATGAAGTAGCATACTTTACATTCAAGCTGTTCATTTGAAGCCCACTTTTGTTGTCCTTTCAGAGTAAAATTTTTTCCAGATTCCCTGTACCTGTTTTCACAACCATGACATATTCAGAAAGTTTTCTTCTTAACATTAGTTGCTAAGCAAAATATATTTCAGTACGCCTGCTGAAAATTGTCAGTCAAACACACATGGCAAGTGTTTGGTAATCTGATAACACTTTACCTTACCAGCCATTATCCAATATTTTACAATTGATGCTAGGATATTTAACTAGAACAGAGTCATGTTTTTTTTATTGTGTGAAATCAAGAGATGTGATGAAAAGAAGTCTGAAATCTCAACATTCCCCCATTTCATTAGGGTTCTTATTTGACTCTCTTAATTTCTTTATTGGAAGCACTCTGTCATGACTGGCTATTTTCACAAAAGTAGAAGTAGTCCTATGAACAGTAGCAAAATATTTCTCTCAAGTAACAAAAGAATAAAAATTGTTTTGTAAAAACATGTTTTTCTTTCATTTTACATAAAAAAAATTATACCCAAACTCTATTATTTTGAACTTTTTCATTAAATGGGTTGAATTTACTTTATTATTTCCAAACCAAATGTAAGACAACATGCAAGAAATACATGCCATTTGTAAGCTCTAGCTTTAAGGGCCGTTTATTAAGGTGAGGGAAGATACAGATTTGTCTGAAATTATTCATCCTCATGGCCCAAGTGAGAGTACATGGAGAACTTTTGTCCGTGAGTATGCCTTTGAATACTTATTTTGAATCTGCCTTTAACAACCCCTGTGCAATATAACAGAAAGTAGATTGTAGGAAGCTGTTCCTCTTACCTTGATCCTAAAGAGATAGCCATATAGGGATTATGAATTGGAGCAATGCTTATGATAATAGAGTTTGGTGCTGTGTTTGTTATTGCCTCCACGTTTTCCAATGGATTGCATATGACTGTGATAAAGAAACAGTCTATGATAGCTAAACAAAGAGGTAGTCATTTCAGTTTATGTTTGAACTTCCACTCTTCTGTACTAATCAAACAAAATGATATCCAGCTGCTTACTTTAGCCATAAAACATTGTTTTATCGTATGCTTCTGTACGTATCTAGAAATATGTTATGTAAACCATTTTAATATGAGAAAGTTGAGGGTTCAATTGCATCAGAATCAGGAAATACAGAGTTAGGATAGCCAATTTAAACTCAGAACCCTCTCCTCATTATCAGCAATGTAGTGGTGCTTTTCATTTCATGGATTTATTGTTTGTGACCGTTTATGTTATATGTGAGCATCAGGTAATGGGTGACAGGCAAGATTGCAAACCTGAGGAGGACCATTCTTCTCTAGGATTGTAGTCAATTCTAATCCATCATTTTACATACATAATGCCCAAGCAGTGCAAGCCTGAGACATGTGAGCATCTGTTCATTGAATGCACCTCTCTCCATGCCAACGACATGTCACATGGAGCACATCTGAGTTTGACCAAATCATCAGGCTCCTGGACAGACAGGCTTTTACACATTAATGAGTCTTTTGTTAGTAGCATTTGTGTGATTATATTTATTCACATAAGAAGGCATCCAAAGAAAAAAGTTAGAAACTATAAAAAGGCATGAAAAGAAAAATAAGTTTTACATTTTGCTGAATGTCTTTCCTAGCCCTTATGGGTGTTTCCACATTTCTGTTTTACAAAATTGACATGTTATTCAAAGAGTTATATAGGCCATTTATTTCAAAGTTAATATTTTTGACCATTCTTCCACCACAATAAATATTTTTTATAACATGATTGATTAAGCTATGTATTTTCATTGTGTAGAAGTGAAAATCATTTTCATAACTACTCTCCTGTTTGGGGACTTTAAATGTTTTTCTATTATAAAAAAGCCCGCATTGTACCAACCTTAATTTTTTTAGAATACTTTTTTAGAAACAGAATTTGTGTCCAGGGCAAAAAAAATTTAAGGCTTTTAATGTCTATTTTCATATTGACTTTAAGAAAGTTTATTGTGTATCAATTTATAGTCCCTGGACAACATTTCTTTAAGTGGAACTGTTTATGGAATCTTCAATGCTGATATTTTGCGAAGAAACTTATTCAATAAATTCAACTGTTATATCTAGTTCTGTATTATAAACATAAACGATAAAAATAATTTTTTTAAATCTAGATCTAAGCTTTTATTCTTATATTGAATGAGAACACACTGTTGAGTGTAATGAGGACACATTCTTACACAAGTGTAAGAATGTACTTATTTCTTCCATCCTGAACTTATTGAATTCTCTTCAATATCCTGAATCTTACTCACGAAAAAGTCTCCTTGAATTTGTAAGTTTCATTGCTGCTGTCTGATTTCTCATTTTCCATACATAAGCCTGCATATGAAGGGATCTCTTTCTTCCTCAAACACCTAAGCCAATAGAATTGAGCCAAAAATATGCAATTGGGCAAGACTCTCCAATGTTCAGTTGGCACATGGCTATATACGCAGGAGTAAAACAGGCTTGTGAGTTCTGGCTTTGGTAGGGCAGTTGCGCCTTCTCCATACCACTTGTCCACCAGCCTGCAAGTGATGTGAGCTGGCTGTGGCCTTAATAATGTCACAATGGCCTTCTTCCCCTACACTTCAACCTCCTACCCTTTCCCTTCTCTCTTTCTCTGGGTTTCTTATGAGGAAAGAGTCAGAAAAGAAATGCAATCAATAAGAAAACACTAAAGTGAAGGTGGATGACAAGCAACTGCTGCCTAGTGCCAAAAGGGCACAGATCAGGCCCAGCCTCATTTTATTTGTGAGCTCGTATCACAGCCTTTGGCATAATCCTTTGGGATAAATTTTCTACACTTTCGAATCTCTGAGTAAGTGAATGGATGGAGAGGGAAACTTGATAGTGTAATAGCGCACCAAGGCTGAGTG
The DNA here is from genome assembly GCF_000001405.40 of Homo sapiens. Taxonomy (NCBI): domain Eukaryota; kingdom Metazoa; phylum Chordata; class Mammalia; order Primates; family Hominidae; genus Homo; species Homo sapiens. The sequence goes on from NC_000005.10 coordinate 98,576,053, forward strand.
TGTGCATCCACCAAAACACACATACCTCCATGCCTATTCGTGGGAGTACCTTAAACTGATCGAACATGAAATAAAATGGTCAGCAATATCAAACATAGTAAATATAGTCCAATATTTAAGATCGTTTTGTGACCACAATCTCATTATTCCATTGGAAGTAAACACTGTATTCGCTTGCTCCATTCCTTTGATAGATTAAGTGAGACAGCCAGATTGACATAACCTAAATCTTCTGATTCTTAAACCAGTGATCCATATTTCTGGTTGAGCACTCTATACATTGCTTTCTGCCACATCCTCAATCTCTACCGGAGGAACACGTGGCTGTACCAGGCACTGTGGGAAGGCACGCGGGTTCAGAGCGTGGAGCAGATGGGCGAGGTGGCCTAGGGAGCGGCCCGCATCCGTGGGGAGACGCTGGGCCTCAACGGCTTTGGTTGCACGGGGCAGGCATTGCAGTTCGAGCCAAAGCCTTTGGATTCAGCGTCATATTTTATGACCCCTACTTGCAGGATGTGGTCGAGCGGTCCCTGGGCGTGCAGAGGGTCTACACCCTGCAGGATTTGCTGTATCAGAGCGACTGCGTCCCCTTGCACTGCAATGTCAACGAACATAACAACCACCTCATCAATGACTTTACCATAAAGCAGATGAGGCAGGGAGCATTCCTTGTGAACGCAGCCCGTGGTGGCCTGGTGGACGAGAAAGCCTTAGCACAAGCCCTCAAGGAGGGCACGATACGAGGGGCAGCCCTCGACATGCATGAGTCGGAGCCCTTCAGCTTTGCTCAGGGTCCGTTGAAAAATGCCCCGAATCTCATCTGCACTCCTCACACTGCCTGGTACAGCGAGCAGGCGTCACTGGAGATGAGGGAGGCAGCTGCCACAGAGATCCGCCGAGCCATCACAGGTTGCATCCCAGAAAGCTTAAGAAATTGTGTGAACAAGGAATTCTTTGTCACATCAGCGCCTTGGTCAGTAATAGACCAGCAAGCAATTCATCCTGAGCTCAATGGTGCCACATACAGATATCCGCCAGGCGTCGTGGGTGTGGCTCCAGGAGGACTTTCTGCCGCCATGGAAGGGATCATCCCTGGAGGCATCCCAGTGACTCACAACCTCCCGACAGTGGCACATCCTTCCCAAGCGCCCTCTCCCAACCAGCCCACAAAACACGTGGACAATCGAGAGCACCCCAACGAGCAATAGCAGAGAATGCCAGAAGGTAATCACTCAGATACACTTGGGACCAAGAGACAGTGAAAAATAGATGAACTAAGAGAAAAAGAATCGGATGGTCTTTGTAACTGATTCTGGGCATATGCATCATTGATGTTGCAGTGTTAAAACTACAAGAGCTAGAAAACTAAAGATGTCGTCTGCTTACGGAAGCGCTGAAAGACTAGGATGTGATTTATTAACGACCAACTTCTGTTATTGTGTGTTAAGCTTTTCATCTGTGCATCAAATCACAAAGAATAAATAGAGCTTTTTCTTTTATCAGTCCGTTGGGCACAGCAGGTCCTGAACACCCTGCTCTACAATGTTGCATCAAGAGTTCAAACAACAAAATAAAAAATATTAAGAGGAAATCCCCATCCTGTGACTTGAGTCCCTTAAGTCTACAGGGGCTGGTGACCTCTTTTTTGCTAATAGGAAAATCACATTACTACAAAATGGGGAGAAAACTGCTTGCCTGTGGTAGACACCTGCATGCATAGGATTGAAGACAATACAGGCCCCTGTACAGAGAAGTGTCTCACGTCTGAACTGCATCCTGAGCGGGCAAGTTGGTTGTAAGTTCAGTAAAACCCTCTGATGATGCAAAAAAAAAAAAAAAAAAGTATTAAGTTCCACAAGCTGTTTGTACTCAAATATATTTTCTCAGTTTCAGATCCTCTGCTATTTTATTGAGTGGAAAGTCTTGAGCTAAAAGGTTCAAGAAGAATAATGTTGCATTTCCTTATGTCTCAGGAAATACTTTTTATGGTAACTTGTCAGATTGTCTATGAACAAACCCACTTTTTTAGACATTGATAAAGTCTTCTTTTCTTCATGTGCTATTTTATACAAGAACACTTCAGGTGTATTAGATGTGACTGATTTTAACAAATCCTATTAGATTTGTATCAACTAGTTGCATGTTCTATTCATAGTCTTTTGTGAATCATTGCCTTTTTCTTTAAAAAGATGGCCTATTTTGAGCCTTTGTATAGGTACATTCCTGTTTTTGTGACAAAAGAAAAACTTTAAAATTGTCCCAAGCAGAAAAATAATGGCTATTAGAAGTATGTTTTGTTTTAGTGTGAGTTACCATTACTGTATTTGTTTATTGTAAAGGTGGACATTTAGCGTTCAGTGTAGTTTTCAATAAAAAGTAATTAAAATTTGTTAAAAAAAAAAAAGAAAAATCGTGTTTTATCTTCCTTTGTCTTACATTTCAGACAAGTTCCTATATCCTTCCCTTTTTATTATCTATGTATGGATTCCAACTTTTTCACCCTGGTAAAAGAGGCAGACTTTTCAAGCTTATAACAACTGCTTATCTAATTGTATTTTAATAGAGTACACATTATTGTGTTTTTTGCTGCAGCAGCATTTTTTTTATTTTTATAGACTAAGGGGTACATTTACAGGTTTGTTACATGGATATGTTTTGTAATGGTGAGGTTTGGGCTCCTAGTATGCCCTTCACCTGAATAGTGAACATAATACCTCATTGGCAATTTATCAACCCTTACCCCTCTCTACCCTTCCCCCTTTTAAAATTCCCAATGTCTGTTATTTCCCTTTCTATGTACATGTGTGCCCGTTGTTTAGCGTCTAGACAGTATTTAATTTTCTGTTTCTGAGTTATTTTACTTAGGATAATGGCCTCTGACTCCATCCATGTTGCGGCAAAAGAAATGATTTCATGCTTTTTATGGCTATGTAGTATTCTATGGTATACATAAACTACATTTTCTTTATCCAGTCATCCATTGATGGACGCTTAGGTTGTTTTCACGACTGTGCTATTGTGAATATTGCTGTGATAAACATATAAGTGCAGGTGTCTTTATTCTTCTTTTCCTTTGGTGTAAGGAAAGATATGTATTAAACATGTTAGAATAGGTATCTATGCACATGTATGTGCACACACAAACACTACACATGCACACATACCTCACACTTACACCAGGACCTAAGAATCCAAGGCAATTCAGAGCCTGAAGCATCATTTTGCGGTGTATAAAATGAAACACATTTCCATAAAAAACTAGCATCATCACACAGTGTATTTCCGTTTTGTTGTTTTGGTGGTGGTGATAGTGGGTTTCTATTGGACCCCAGGTACGAAGAGTTAATCATATTCAATTCAAAGCTCTTGATCACCAGTCATCTGAGCAAGCTCCCTCTAATCTATGTATTCACTCCCTTTTAGCCCTTTTTTTCTCATCCACATAGATAGCTATTTTAACATGTCTAATATATGTCTTTCACTTGTAAGCATGCTCTATAAGACAACTTATAAGTTTATGGCATCATTCTAAAATTTTAAAAAAATCTATTTCTTTCAGCTTTTAAATGTTTCAAAGTGTGTTTTGTGCTTTCAGCTTTAAAAAAGAGAGAGAGAGAAAAAGAAAACTCCCCCTCCATACTATCACTATTAGAAACAAATTATTCTCCTAGGAGACTTCTCTCCCCAGTCCTTCTAAACTACTTGTTTTCCAGACTGAGTTCTGCATCCTTTGCTCCATTGCTCTCATTTCTCTCCCAGCTCTCTCATCTTTTGGAGTTTACCAAAACACAATGGAAATTATGCCAATTATTTGCCAGAAGGCGAATGTGTACATGGAAGTTTCAAAAGATAATTTTCTAATAAGCCATATTTATCTTGACTTTTTCATTTTCATGTTCTTCCATATTCATCCCTATATAATATGGCTAAGAAACTGTAATCTGTGCTGGGTGCTTGGGAAAATAGAGGGAAAATGCATGCTTCTCAATCCTTTTATTCCAGCCCTCACATTAAGATTTAGAAAAAAATAAGCCTGTTAGAGAACAATCAAGGCGGCATTTAATTAGAAGCCAAAGCCAATTTTTCTAGAACTTTATATTTCTAGTGAGCCCTTCACCTGAATAGTGAACATAATACTCCATTGGTAATTTTTCAACCTCACTCCTCCCTACACTGCCCTCTTTTGAAGTCTCCAAGGTCTATTATTTCCCTCTGTATGTCCATGTGTACCCAATGTTTAGCTTCCAGGCAGTATTTCAGGAAAATCACTGGGGTTGATGTGGTCAAACAAGTCTTTGTCATAGTCTTCTTCCTTTTTCTCCATTAATCTATTAATAACTCTAATTCACAGATGAGGAAATTTAGATTTAAAGGGGGTAACTAATCCAAGACCATATAATGTTGGGACTGAAATCAAGAGTTTTTTTAACTCTAAAATCTACACACTAAAATGGGTTCTCCAATTATTTACTAGTATGGTCAAAACTTGATGTGGCATTATAGGGATGTCTCCATTATTCTGCAGTCCTCATTTATTCAGCAATTTAGGCCCATCCTGTGTGTCAGGTGCTGTGCTAAGCATTAGAGATAGAGAACTTAGCTAGTACAGCATCTTCTCTAGTTAGTTGAAGGCCTGAGCAAAGCAAATCAGGTGAAGTTTAGTAAAGTGCACATCAATGGCATTCATAAAGTGGAAAAATATAATAAGGAAGCCTAAGGAACAATGAGCACAAAATTGAACCCCATTGTGGCTTACTATAGCTTCAACTAATTTTTCTGCAAAATGAGCCTGCCTTTCCTCAATACAGTCTCACCCCTGATTGGTATCCCACATATTGGACTCATTCTCATAACTTTAGATCAAACATGACATATTAGTACGTTTATTTTCATGGTTATTTAAAATGATTCTTTGGGTTTTAACCTTCAGTTGTTAATTTTATATACATAAAAACATGATCTAAAATCTGCTTCTGATTAAAAGATGAAGATTTCCTAAAATCCATGTAACAATCTATTTGTTTCACTCTTTAAAAAGCTGTTCCCTGACATCCATAAAGCAGCAATGAATGAAAATAAGAAAAGTCATTTTGAAAAATATGTCCTAAAATCTTGTGTAGGCCCTGTAGAACTTTGAGCTAATGAAGCCATAGTTTGATTCTTGCCCTCTCTGATCCCACCAATCATCAATGCTGTAAGCAGTATCATGACAAAATAGACAGGATATGGAAACAAATGCTGGTCAAGACTCTCAAAAGGGTCACCTCCAGGTCACTCATCCACATGAGCAGCATTTTACAATTTGGTTCAGTGCTGCCTGAGACACACATTAACTTTAACTGAAGCAAATTTCTGAAGATTTTCTCAAGAATGAGTCCAAGCAATTTCCCTTCTTTCTTCATTTGTAATGTGTTGACATTAATTAGTACCTAATTCCTGGACTGTGTTCAGGCTTCAGTGAAAGACAGAAAGGAATGATTTTGGAGCAGATTAGGCACATAGCCTCCTGGTCCAGTTCCAAAGAGTGAAGAAACTGCCTACTGCTCTCAGGATCAGGTCCTCCTCAGTCTGATTCATAGTTCTCATTAGGAACCAAAAATCTTAAAAGAGAAAAGGAATTGGTTCTACTTAATAATAGTAATCACTTTTTCTTAAGAAACTCAAAATATCCTGGGTTATAGTCCAAGATCTGTGAAGAATAAAAGATAAAGTCATTTAATGACTATGCATGGTGACTAAGCAAACCAGAGTCAAATGCAGGCCTGACTCCAGGACCTTCTGGCTTTATGTTACTTAAATTTTATATATTTCTTTATACATCCCTGATCCAACAGCTTCTACATGATGTAGCAGCTTCTACGTTTCAGTGAAAATGAGCTTTGTAAAGGATAGCCTCATGGTATCAAGTAGGCTATATCTAAAATCAAAGTATGGCAAGACTGAAAGAGTAGTATGGAGTACTCCAGGTATAGTAGGTCTTTGCCTAGTAAGAGAAGTCTTCTACTTGTTCAAAGAGCTGTGATAGTCCTATGCCATTTCAGAGCCTCACTGGAAAATGTTATTAAAGGCCACTGTTTGCCCTCAACCTGGTATATTTCGCTCTTCATTTATAAAATATATCTGATTATTAGAAAGCTGGGATAGGGAATGCACAAATTAATAATAAATTATGAGAAAAGATCATCAAAATTGTGGTTTTTAAAAGAGTATCTGAAGCCACGTGCAGTGGCATAGGCCTGTAGTCCCAGCTACTTGGGAGGCTGAGGTGGGAGGGATGCTTGTGATTAGGAGTTCAAGACTAGCCTAAGCAACATAGCAAGATCCTGTGTCTATAAAATGTAATTTAATTTAATTTAAAAACAGAGTAAATACCACACAGATACTAATAAATGATACAGCAATGACAAGCCTGAAACAGCAGTAATACATACAGCAACATAAATAGTATCTGAGGAAAACAAAGAAAATCAGACTGAGATTTATAACCTAGCCCCATTTATAAAAATTTAAAATGCAAGTACACGAAACAGCAATACACATTTCACAAGAACACATACAAACACAACGATATATAACAAACACATTAGGTTATTTTCTGGAGGAAAGAAGGAAATAGATATGAGAAATGGAACAAAATAGGATGAAGAAATAAAAGAGGGGCTTCCCCAGGACCAGTAATGATAAGGAACCATGAGCTAAGGAATATGATTAACTCAAATCTGCATCTGCATTAAAAAAAAAAAAAAAAAGTCCAGAGCTAAATAGATGACATAGAACTTCTGGCTCCCAGTTTCTGGCTCCCTCTTCTGTGCTTTAAGGCAATATTGTGAAGTCTAGCCTATTAACAAACACATCACAAGCAAATCCCTCACTATGTATGCTCATGACTGGGATTGCAAGAACACTACACAGAAATCTACAGAAGAGGGGACCATGTGTGCACACTGTCTTCTTACATGTAAGCAAGGAAAAACATAAACTTTCCTGTAGTAATAAGAAATAAGACTTAGTGCATGTGAATTTTGGATTTATTTGAGCCTTTTAGTTTGTTATCACCTATTAGAGAAGTATCCGCTAAACCTGATCCACATTCAGGAAAAGGCAAAATTACCTGTTATAGACTATTCACTTTCCAGTCAAGACACTTAGGTTGGCAGGTAAGAATACATATATTAAAGAAACACCCAATATTTTCAGCAAGACAGTAACTGAGCAAATTTTCTCTTGTCATCTTCCCTTTAGCCTACTCTCCCAGATATGTGTCCATATTCATACCCATAACAATAGTCTAACATTATCTAACTTGCTTAGAAGAGAAAAAATAGTGTTACTATTAAGGCAAGACCTTATAGCAATTATGAAAATATAATCTCCTTCAAATTAATTTTTAAAACAACAATGGATATTTTAAGCACTAGTTACTCGTTGATGGTGGATTTTCCTTTTTTTTTTTTTTGCATGCTTTGCATGAAAGTTTTAATACTTTAGAAGCCTTCAGATTTTATGAACCCAAACATAATGCTTGTGAATACCCGTGGAGACCTCCAGCCCAAAGCTCCCTCTCAGGGAATAGCCTGAATATTAAAAATTCAGCAGAACTGATTTTAAAATAGTTGAGCTTTTCAAGGGGATGGGTAATCTATCATAATGGAACATTAACTTCACTTGAAGTCCACATTTATGGTTCTGTTTTTATGATGCCGTTATGATCTTTACTCCTAGTCTTGTTATTCTGTGATCAGAGTGTGAAAATACTGCAGAGATAAGTGACAAAGAGCTTAGTTGCCAGTTAGTTGAGGTTTAAAAGTTATTTGCCAATAGATTTTTCAATGCAAGATTTTTAAAAGGCCATTATCTGTCATTGTAAAAGAAATGTGGCCTGTGGTTCATGCAATTAAAATAACTCCTAATTACATGAGATTAGATTTGCTTTCTCCATAGTCTATTTCATACGGAATAAATCAAAGGATTCATCCACTTCTTTTTTTTTTTAATATCCTTAAACTCGTGTCTTCTTCCTGAGCAAGAGATATGATGTAGCTTGCCTACTGTGTGGATCAACCTAGTGACCTGCACAAAGTAAAAGAAAGAGTACCAGCGTTACCTCCTCCCAAAAAGTAGAAGTTATTTTAGAGTGAAGGAATAAAACACTTAGCCCTTCTTCTCCTTCTAATGCAATTCAGCATATTCAATTTTTTATCTAAATTACAGATTCATTTATTTAAATCTTTATTCATAAGAAAACCCTTATTTTAGAGTCAATATTTAATAATATTTAATAAATAAAAAATATTTATTAAGCTCTTGCAATAAGCCAACCATAGTTCTAGTCACTACAGTGGTGTTCCTCTAAGCATGACTTTCAAATCACCTACAATTGAGTCACTAGAATTAATACCAATATCTCAATTACCATTCCCCAACCTAGAATCAGAATCTCAGAGGACAGGACCCAGGAATCTGAACTGTTGAAAGCACCCCGAAATTATTTTGAAAACCCCAATTTAAAAACTGATTCCCTGCCATCAAAATGAGAATGTGGGTAGGAGATAGTAGATCTAGACTTAGGGTAAGTAAAAGCTAAGCGATAATTTGTGTCACTTGCGGAATAAACCATTTAATTGACAATGCTCTACTCTGTATTCTTACCTTCTTCTGACATGGCAAACCCTGAAACCTCATGTTCAGTTGGTATTACCATAAAATGTTAGTGTATCTCCACTATAAGTTGAACTGTCTTGCCAGTCCACACTGGACATGTAGCATTAGGTAAAAAAGTCACCTTTCTTGATTTAAGCCACTGAGATTTGTGGGACTGTTTGTAACTGCAGCAAAACCAGTTTGTCCTGACTGATGTAGACATACCTGCCATCTTTTCTCCTATAGAAAGGTTACTATTATTCATTCTTTGCCTTGAAAACAAGCAAAAGTGAATAAGAAAATCCAGAACAATCAGGCATTTTAAGAATAGAAGAACATCTAAAGAACAATATTTTAATTAATAACACTATTGACTCTTTCCATATGTTAGGCACTTTGCTAAGGGTTTTCTATGTGAAGATTTACAGACAGGACTTGCCTAGCAAAGGCAATACTGAGAGCAAAGACCCTAAGACTACAATGAGCCTGGCATGTTTATGGAACAGAATAAAAGACCCATGTAACTAAAACATATTTGAGGGTAGGAAGAGAATGGTAAAGGATGAGGAGTAAGAGTTAGGATCAGAAAATTTGTTAGGAACCAGATTGCACAGGCCTTGTGAGCCATGGAAAACATTTTAGATTTTATTCTTTGTTCAATGGAAGCCATTGGAAAGCCTTAAGCAAGAAACTACATTAGAGTGAAGAGGAGCACAAATCATGAACCACAGAAAGAAAAAATAAATTTTTCCATTAAATATATTGGTACTTAACTGTCATCTTTGGTCCATTTTACTTGTGTGCCCTATATAGTCATATTTAATCTAGGTTTTATAAAAATATTATTTCTCCAAAATTAATTTAAAAATGTTTGTCTTTGTGGTGGATTCCCATATATCAATAAAACTACTTTTTGTTTCATTTAACAAACATCTATATAGTCTTCCTTTGCAACCGACACTGTGGTGCAAAGATAATTGAGACAATATATCAAACTCTGTGAGGAATCTCTCTAGCTTCAACTCCTTTTTTCTAAGACCATTTCACCTTCTTTCCAATGAATCCTCTTTTGTCTTCAACCAACATCAATCCTCTTTGTTTACAGACTGAGCCACAAATTCCTCAACGTTCTTGGCTTCTTTTCCCTTCACCCCCACTCTGTGTTAAACACCATTGACCTAAACTTGACTTCAAAGATTGATCATGCAGGAACTATCACTGAGACTTGGCCATGCAGAACATGAGCCTCTTTTTGCCACTACCTACGAAGGGGGTGGAAGGGTAGAGAGGGAAAGTTACCAAGGAATAATGGGAGGAACCAATCAGATCCCTCAGCTAGACCCAATTCCTCAGTGAACTCAGCTGTGCTGCAGCATCAGAGAAGCAATAAGAAATATGATTTCTACATTTTGTTCTATTTCAGTGAGTCACCTGATCAGGATGATTCAGGACCCTTTTATGGGAAATGCCATAGAGACCTAAGTAAAACATATTCTTTAGATTCCATAAGGCCAATGTTGTTCCCCTGGTAGCTTGGGATAAGGAGAGATGCTGCCATTGCCATTAGAGCCTACAAAAACCAACTTGGGAAGACGTCCCTTTCATCCATTATATGTAATATGTAAAGGCCGAACTTGCTTTTTACAGCTCCAATATGGAAATTTCCATTACCATGGTTTAGTTAAATAACACTGGTCCCCAGCAACGTGGTTCACATTTCCATTACCACAGTATATTAACTGTGAGTAATTGCATAAGGCACAAACTTCGCCGCTGCCTTGTTAGCCTACAAGTCATTGCATAAATAACAGATACATATCCTGATCAGTGACCAATCATGTCACCTTTTACAAAGCCTGCTGGTGGTCTGTCACTTCACATTTTCTATTCAGTTCATACACAGAAAGCAAAGCATGTGACTATGTTGCCTCCTTGTCTCCCTGTGATAAACTTGTATGACATTTTACAAAAACTGATAATCCAAAAAAGGGATTTGTCAACAAAGATGAAAGTACAGCAAAGAAATGAAAAGTAATAATGCTGGAAATGAAATCCAAATCAAACATTCATGGAGTTATAGAAGAAATTGCTGATGGTGGGCATTTTGACATAGCTGTTGTTAGAGAGACTCTAGACATACGGTCAGAAGTGCTTAGAGACAGCAAACGTATAGACACGTAGACATGAATGAGAAAAGTGATTCTAATGAACAGGATGAAAGTGTCCCAGAGGAAATGCCATATGCTTGCAAAAATAACTTCATGTTAAAGGCACTACCGGAGATAATTCACAACACTGACAGCACCAAGGATACAATGTCAAAATGTGATCAAAATTTGCTAAGGCATAGAAAATGTGCCTTGTATATATCACAAGTTATGCTCAAAAAGAAGAAGGCAAGCACTGCTCAAACTATTTTTGATCAGTTTTTTACAAAGAAATAAACATTTAATTACCAATGTTTGTAACGTTTTAAGTTACAGTATACTAAATATTATTCTTTTTTATTTTCCTATACAGTACATTTATAACAAACAGTAAGAGAGTTTTTAATGTTTGACAGAAATTTTTAAAGGTCATGGAACGATCAACTTTTCCCACTAGCTACGAGCACCACTTTGCAAGGTTTCTGTTTACAAGGTCATTTTTATAGCCCATGTGACTGTGCAAAGCGAGAACCGTCATTACTGAGAGACTCCATAGGTATCCATATTGTCTACTCCCTCTATTCAGTGAAGGTTGTAGCTTCTGGTTTTCACGTATTTTGCCTTAAAAACTTTGTTTATTTCCTTATGTTGTTTTCTAATACTAAGTTATTTCAAATTTAATCATTTTGCAGGGAAAATCTTTTCAGAATAGAGAACTTGGATGTGATGCCCAACCAATGTCTTTCAAATTTTTCCCTTTTTAGCTAAAGACTGTTTACCAGTCATTTCCTAACAAGATTAAAAGCAAACTAACTCAATAATTAGGAGATTGGGAGAAGAAATAACATTTTCTTTTTGCAGTGGATTGTTTACCTTTTAAAGAATCTTATAAAATGACAAAAAATTATGTAAAAATTGTTTAGGAATACCTAAGTATGAAAAGTGGATTACAAAACACTGTGAAATGTGACTTCATTTTTGTAAAATACACCTATATGTATGTATGCATCTAAAGTATATGCATATGTGTATGTGCATATGTACGAAAGTAATCAAAATGAAAGATATAATCAAAATGTCAAGGGTGGTTCTCTTTGGGTAGAAGGACTATTGGAAAATGTGTTTCTGTTCCGTGTGTTTTCTGAATTGTCTACAATGGGTATGTAATACTTTTGTAAAAAGGCCATTTCAAAAACAAATCTGCTCTTTTACCTTCACATTGCTTAATGTTCTGATAATAAAAATGAATATTGGAACAGGTATTAAATTGTGCTTTTTTAAGTCTCTCAACCTTTTCCACTTGCTTTTTTGTCTAACACAGCCTCAGACCTTCTAATGAGACAGGCAGTCCTGATGGTACTAACTAAGAAAATATATTTGGAAAGATAGAATTTTTTAGCATCAGAACTGAGGCAGACAGGCGCTTAGAAGCCCTCCAGAACACTCAAAATTCAAAAGCTCGAATTTCCTTGCCTGTTAATTTTTGCAGTTTCCCAGTCTCAGGGGATGCCCCACCCAGGCATTGTTAATGATTTGAAGAAACCATCTGTGTGGTATAAATGGCAATGCCTGTGTCTGATTAGTTTAAAATAGCTGACAAAATCCACATGGTTAAATAAATCAGGGAAATGGTAACCAAAGCACAGATGTTTACAATCTTCCTGCACAGTCATATAAACATCTGTCAAGAAAACAATGCCTGCTAGACTGTCTCTCAAATTCACGCATTTAAATAATTTTTTAAATGCAGTTTGTTGAGCATTTAGTATGTACTACTTCCTATGCTCAATACATTTATTTTCTCATTTAATGCTCACAAGAACCTTATAAGCAGAATACTATTATTTTCATTTTATAGATAAAATTGCAGCTGGGATGTTGAGTGATTCATTTGAAGTCAGACACCAAATCTATAATATTAATCACTTAGTAAGCAAGAACACATAGTTATATTTCAGGCTCAAATATCTACTTATCAGAACTATAGCTGGTTTACAAAACAGCAACAACAACAACTTTCATCTGCAAACAACCAACAATAAACATAACATGAAAACTAGTAGTAAAACAAATGACTGTGTACAGACATACTCTGAAAAACCTCACATGTGTATTTATTTCATTCGATTCTTACATAATTGCCAATTGTTTACAAGAAGGGAACAGATTTTATTTATAGCGTGAACACTTTAGCACTGTTTTAAAAGGAACTTTGGGTAAAAGTTGACAAAAATAATAAGAAACACTAAGGCAGAATTAAAATAACCTTTTGGCTTCCCTAAATAAGGAAAAATGTTTTGATGGGTCAGAAATACTATTTTAACTAAAAATCTTATGAGAAAAGCAAAATTAAAGAACTGCATTCCTTTTAGACAGCTCAGTGTATCTCCCACCTCCTCAAATAAACAAATAAATGTCTACCATGGTTGATGATTCTTACTGAAGAGATTACACCTAAACTTCCTTAACTGTCATTCTTGCTCTGAATTGTTGTTCCTCACTGCAGAAGCTCAAAGCCCTTTTTTAAATCCACCTTGGCCTTTTATCTCTGACCTTTCAAGTCTTCCTGAAATCAAATTGCCAAATTCTGTTTTCTCCTTGCAGAACATCTCCTAATCCTCCTAATATAATTTGGACTGACAAGGCTGAGCTACAGTTTTCAATAATATATCTGCAGATGAAAAAAAGGTTGGCTGGAGGGTTACTCCAAGCACATTTTCAATTGGAAAAACCAGACGAGAGAGGGCCCCTCCCCTACACTGGGTGTTGGCGCCACAATTGCTACCCATTTGCTGCCACTACAGCCCCTGGCCTCCAGTGCTGTGTGCTCTGGCTTCTGACCATATGGAGACAGATTTTTTTTATTAATAATAATAACTAGTATTTATAGAGTGCTTATGATGTGCTAAACACCTTGCCAAGTGATTTTATATGCCTTTATAGGACTTAGCTAATTAAGTTACATATCTATGTGCTTCCTGCATTTGGTGAGTTAGAGGGGCTTACTCAGAGGTCCATATAGTGATTAAGAGCCAAATTAGATCTCATCTCTTTCTCATTCTCTCATCAACAAACTTTCATTAAAGACCTTCTCTGTGCTAGCACCTTCACTAAGCACAGATCTCACCTATGTGGAGCAACAATCTACTGGGGCAGAAAAATACAAATAAATACTGTAATATAAACATATTAAGAAATATGTAGAAAGTATTCACATTTTTTTAATGGAAGCTATTTTAATCTGGCTAAGTACATTAGTTAAAAGAATCTTCCACCTTGTCTAGCATGCTTCATTATTAGAGTTCTGGAATAAGGTGGTCTGAAGAAGAAGAATGACGCAGTTTGGCTGTGTCCCTAACCAAATCTCATCTTGAATTATAGCCCCCATAATTCCACATGTCATGGAAGAAACCCAGTTAGAGGTAATTGAATCATGAGGGCGGGTTTCTCCTGTGCTGTTCTGATGATAGTGAATACGTCTCAGCAGATCCGATGGTTTTATAACCGTCCTATGTCCCCTGCACACGTTCTCTTGCCTGCCGCCATGTAAGACGCGCCTTTATTCCTTCTTAGCCTTCCATCATGATTGTGAGGCCTCCCAAGCCATGTGGAACTGTGAGCACATCAAACCTCTTTTTTTATGAATTACCCAGTCTTAGGTATGTCTTCTTAGCTGTATGAAAATGGACTAATACAAAGAATTTCTCAATCCCAGCCAAAAGAACAAAGCTGGAGGCATCATGCTACCTGACTTCAAACTATACTACAAGGCTACAGTAACCAAAACAGCATGGTACTGGTACCAAAACAGAGATATAGACCAATGGAACAGAACAGAGCCCTCAGAAATAATGCTGCCTATCTACAACCATCTGATCTTTGACAAACCTGACAAAAACAAGAAATGGGGAAATGATTCCCTATTTAATAAATGGTGCTGGGAAAACTGGCTAGCCATATGTAGAAAGCTGAAACTTGATCCCTTCCTTACACCTTATACAAAAATTAATTCAAGATAGATTAAAGCCTTAAATGTTAGACCTAAAACCGTAAAAGCCCTAGAAGAAAACCTAGGCAATACCATTCAGGACATAGGCATGGGCAAGGACTTCATGTCTAAAACACCAAAAGCAATGGCAACCAAAGCCAAAATTGACAAATGGGATCTAATTAAACTAAAGAGCTTCTGCACAGCAAAAGAAACTACCATCAGAGTGAACAGGTAACCTACAGAATGGGAGAAAATTTTTGCAATCTACTCATCTGACAAAGGGCTAATATCCAGAATCTACAATGAACTCCAACAAATTTACAAGAAAAAGCAAACAACCCCATCAAAAAGTGGGCGAAGGATATGAACAGACACTTCTCAAAAGAAGACATTTATGCAGGCAACAGACACATGAAAAAATGCTCATCATCACTGGCCATCAGAGAAATGTGAATCAAAACCACAATGAGATACCATCTCACACCAGTTAGAATGGCGATCATTCAAAAGTCAGGGAACAACAGGTGCTGGAGAGGATGTGGAGAAATAGGAACACTTTTACACTGTTGGTGGGACTGTAAACAAATTCAACCATTGTGGAAGTCAGTGTGGTGATTCCTCAGGGATCTAGAACTAGAAATACCATTTGACCCAGCAATCCTGTTACTGGGTATATACCCAAAGGATTATAAAACATGCTTCTATAAAGACACATGCACACGTATGTTTATTGTGGCACTATTCACAATAGCAAAGATTTGGAACCAACCCAAATGTCCAAAAATGATAGACTGGATTAAGAAAATGTGGCACATATACACCATGGAATACTATGCAGCCATAAAAAAATGATGAGTTCATGTCCTTTATAGGGACATGGATGAAGCTGGAAACCATCATTCTCAGCAAACTATCACAAAGACAAAAAACCAAATACCGCATGTTCTCACTCATAGGTGGGAATTGAACAATGAGAACACATGGACACAGGATGGGGAACATCACACACCAGGGCCTGTTGTGGGGTGGAGGGAGGAGGGAGGGATAGTATTAAGAGATATACCTAATGTTAAATGAAGAGATAATGGGTGCAGCACACCAACATGGCACATGTATACATATGTAACTAACCTGCACGTTATGCGCATGTACCCTACAACTTAAAGTATAATAAAAAAAAAAAAAGAAAGAAAATTGTATGCAAAAAAAAAAAGAATTTCTATCATCTTGAGTAACTTGCTACAGCATCATCTAGAAAATTCAAAATCACATTCAGGTATTTAATCACTCCCATGTTCAGCCCATTATTTGAGACCCTGATCCAAGGCTCTTGCTTTGTCCAGGTCAGTTGTCACTCACACAAATTAATTATGTATTTGAAGAATATTTATGAATACGTATAAATGATCACACATATATGTGAAAAAAGCAAGCAAAAAGTTGCATATGAGTTATAATTTCATTTTGGATGAAAAAGAAAAAGCACCCCAGTAGATAAACATGTATTTGCAAATAAAAATATTAGGAGGAAATGTGATATGGTGTTATAATAATTTGAGAGTTCCTTTTCTTCTATATACTATTCTATATTTTATAATTCTATAAATATAACCATCTATAAATTTTATAATCAAAAAAAGTAAATATCTAATATAACTTAAAATCAAAAGAAAGATGACTGTAAAAAATCTGCTTTGTATAATATATTTCTAATTATTGTTTTATTGAGTTTAAGAACATATGGGTTTAAGAAGTATGGTAATGCTATTTTCAAATAAATTTTTTCTGTTAAGAGTCCAAAATAAAGCAAAGAGAAGTTTTGTTGAAATAGGGTACCTAAATCCAAACAGATTCTATTCACTATCTTATCATAAGACTTGAATTCACTCAACAATGGCCTCTCACCAACCACCTACTAGAGAAGAAAGGAAAAGAAAGACAACTGGCTGCTCAGATAGATGGTCTCACACATGCTCTTTTGAAGACTGTAACACTGTCAAAGATTCTTCTTCTTCTAGCTTCCTTGAAGGGGAAACTAATATTCCCCCCTTCCATATGTATACCCCCCAAGAATTCATATTTTAAAATATATCTAAAATACAAAAAATTCTGGGGCTGAGGACAGAAACAGAAAATGCCTACAAATAGTCCCATGAGATCTTTTTGAAACAATGGAAATTTTCTAGAATTCGATTGTGGTGGTTGCAAAATTCTGTAAATTTATGAAAAATCAGTGAATTGTACACTTAAAATGAGCACATGTTGTATCTCAATAAAGGTTACAAAAAAATAAAAACAGTAATGTAATTGAATACAGGAAAGAATTACCATTACAGATGAAAATGTTTGAGGAATTCTGAAAGCTATTAAGGAACTAAGATTTATTGAAAGAGGTATCAGACCAAGAGGACCAGCAACACAATTTACAAGGCCCAGTACAAAATGAAAATCCATGTCCAAAAATCATTAAGAATTTCAAGAGGGTGAAAGGAGAGCATTAAACCAAGTTCAAGGGCCCTCTTGAGTACAGAAACCTGTAGGACTGTACAGGTCTCATGTCCTAAAACCAGCCATGCAGATAAGAAAAATCTTACTCTGAAATATGGAAGAGAGAAGAATTCTATGAAGTGTGAAGGATGCTCCAAACTAAAAGCAAAGAGATCCAAGAAGTAGATAGGTCTTGGTGGTGCTCACAGTGGAACTGGAGAATGCACATGCAGCTACAGACAGGTCAGCATCTACTTCGCCTTCTGTTTATGCTGAACAATAGCTGAGAGATAAGAGCGGCGTTTACTTCTAGTCTAAAGCACAAATGCAGGAAATGGGGTTGCAGACACAGAGGAATGCTTCAGGTTGATAGTGTTTAGCAAGAGGATAAGGAGCCCACAAACCGAGTAGACACACCACCTGCATGCCCACTCCAGTGGCACAAACCAACCCTCCCTCACAATAACTGAAGGAAATTTCCTCTAGTCAGAAGTTCCCCAATTCACAAATGGGAAAACAGGAGTTTAAATATCAGCATAAAATGAACTCAACAAGCAATCATCATCCAACATTTGAAGAAAACCAAAACAGTGAAAAGAAGAAACAAATTCTGAAAACAGAATAATTAAAATCCAAGAGAAAACAAGCCATTTTTAAAATTAGTATTGTTAACATTTGCTAAGAGAATATCTCATCTGAAAATATAAACAAAATAGGTGTTTTGGGATGAAAACAACTACAGATCTTGAGTTTTAAAGAAAGAAGCAGTGGTTTACTCTTTCAGTTTATTAAGAGAACGTTTGACAGGTGTTTTTAGTTTTAATGTAGTTTATCAATCTTTCTTTTTATTGTTAGTGATTTGTGCATTGTGTTTAACAAATCTTTGATCATTCTAAGGTCATAAAGATATTTTATGTCGCATATGTTATCTTGCAGATGCCTTACTTTTTTCATCTTTCACATTTATAACTACAATCCACCTGGAATTGCTTTTGTGTGTTCAGTAGGGTGAAGAGAAGGAGTAGATTGTTTTATTTTCTCCCATACAGATACTGAATTGACCCGGCATCATTTAGTGAAAAACTATTATTTCTCCCCTAGTCCAAAGTGTCCCGGAGTTGCATATTATCCATAGGTGAGTCTGTTTCTAGGCTTTCCACTGGGCTTTTTGTTTATACTTTGGACAATACTAATGTCTTAATTGTTCTAACTACATATTAAGCCTTTATATTCAGCAAAGAATATCCCTCAACTTCATTCTTCCTCAAAATTGTCTTAGCTATTTTTGGCCCTCTGAATCTCCATATAAATTTTAGAACCAGCTTTTAACTTCCACAA